>NC_000005.10:88291625-88594655 GCF_000001405.40 Homo sapiens | reverse complement strand
ACTCCACTCCAGCTACGCTGGCCTCCCAGCTGTTACTAAAACACTCCAGGTATGCTCTGGATTAGGGTTTATGTAAGTTCCTTATATGGAAGCTGGGCAGATGGGCAGGAGATAGATCACAGAGGACTCTGAATGCCATACCAAGGAGTTTGAATTGGTGGTGTGCAGCCTATTGAAGGATTGTAAGCAGGAGAATGACAGAATCAGATCAATTGTATTTGCATTTTAGAAATATCACCCTGACTGTGATGTAGATGCTAGGGAGACTGACGGAGAAAGTGAAAGGCTGTTGAAATGGTCCAGGTAAGAGATGATGACAGCCAGAGCTAAGGCAAAAACAGTGGGAAGTCAAAGGAAGTGACAGTGACATATTAACTATCTGGAAGGCCCTAGAACTTTCAAAGTAGATGTTTGAACTTTTAATATTATTATTATTCTAATGAGCATGTGAATCTTGGTTCTATTTATCCAAATAGGTAAATAGGAGGAAGACATATTATTGCATTGAAGTGACTATGAAATTTCAGTAAGTAAAAACCCACTAAGTCATTGGATGCATAGGCCTGGATCTATAGATTTTGGTAGTCATTAATCCATAAAGGTAGTTGAAGCCATGGATGTAGGGTGAGATGTAGGCTGCTGAAGGAAGAACCCTACAGAATCACAACATGTTGGGAATAAAAAAAGAAGAGATATATGTGGTTAGAAAAAGAGAAGGCATAATCCAAGACGAAGAAGGAGAACCAGAGGGAATGGGTCTGTGAAAGCTAAGAGAGGAGAGAATGTCAAGGGCTCATACTTGTAGTATAGTTTGACGTTGGGTAGCGTGATGCCTCCAGCTTTGTTCTTTTTGCCTAGGATTGTTCTTGGCTAGGAAAGCAGCTACTGGATTTGACTTGTGGGAGTTCACTGGGGCCTTTAGGGAGAGTAGCATTGCTCTACTAACCCAAGTGTAAGGAAATTCTCAAGTCTTGCCTCAGTGACCTTGGGCTCTTTGAGGGAATGGAAGAACCCAGAGTGACTTGCATAGGATCACACAGCTGATTTGTGGCAGAGTTGAGCTGAAATCCCCTCTGCATTTCCTGTTTTGTTATTTGCCTTAGAACTAAATTGTTAGATATTTGAAAGGACTCAACAAACCAGGCCTAATAGATTTAGTAATAGGACATGTCCTTGTTTCCTTTCTTCCTCACTCCCACTCTGACCCGACCATGTTTGATTCATCTGTAAATTCTGTTGACTATTCCTCCAAAAAAATATCCTTTTAATCAGTTAACTTTCTCTACTTCCACCACCACAACTCAATTTTCTCTTGCCCATGTTATTGCAGTAGCCTCCTGACTTGTCTCAATGCTTCCACTATGCCCCTTCTATTGTCCATCTTCTCTTTCATGATCAGATCTTGTCACTATCTTGCTTAAACATTCCACAAGATTTCCCATAACACTTAGAATGAAACCCAATCTCTTGAAAAGCCCTACACGGTCCCAGGTACTGTAACTGTTGCCCACATTTTGGACCGTGCCACCTTCCACTTTCTGCCTCATTATTGTACCAGGTACTATCTTTCTTTCTATTTCTTAAACAAGGCAGTGCCTTTCTGCCTCGTGGCCTTTGCACTTCTGTGTCCTCTACCTGAGTGTTTTTTCCCCAGATTTTCATTTGGCCGCTCCTTTTCCTCATTCAGCTTTCAGATTAAATGCCATCTGCATAGAGAGGTCTTCCTTCTCATCCTAATCCCTCCATTTGGTCGTATTACCACAAAATCTGTAGCACTTATCACTTTTTGAAATTACATTGCTTATTTGTTTTTGTATTTTACTTTATTGTATTTATTTTTTTTTCCTTCAACTTTTATTTGAAGTTCAGGGGTACATGTGCCAGATGTGCAGGTTTATTACATAGGCAAATGTGTGCCATGGTGGTTTGCTGCACAGATCATCCCATCACTTAGGTATTAAGCCCAGCATCCATTAGCTATTCTTCCTGATGCTCTTCCTCTCCCAATGCCCCTTCCAAGAGGCCCCAGTGTGTGTTGTTCCCCATCATGTGTCCATGTGTTTTCATCCTTCAGCTATCACTTGTAAGTGAGAATGTGCAGTGTTTGATTTTCTGTTCCTGTGTTAGTTTGCTGAGGATAATGGCTTCCAACTTCTGACAATAGGAACATGTCCTATGTTCCTACAAAGGACATAATCTCATTCCTTTTAATGGCTGCATAGTATTCCATGGGTATATGTACCACATTTTCTTTATCCAGTCTATCATTGATAAGCATTTAGGTTGATTCCATGTCTTTGCTATTGTGAATAGTGCTGCAGTGAACACACATGTGCATGTATCTTTATGATAGAATGATTTATATGCCTTTAGGTATATACCTAGTAATGGGATTCCTGGGTCAAACGATATTTCTGCCTTTAGGTTTTTGAGGAATCACCACATTGTCTTCCACAGAACTAATTTACACTTCCACCAACAGTATAAAAGCGTTCCTTTTTCTCTGCAACCTTGTCAGCATCTGTTGTTTTTTGACTTTTTAGTAATAGTCATTCTGATTGGACTGAGATGGTATCTCATTGTGGTTTTGATTTGCATTTCTCTGATGATCAATGATGTCAAGCTTTTTCTTCTTATGTTTGTTGGCTGCATGTATGTCTTCTTTTGAGAAGTGTCCATTCATATTCTATGCCCACTTTTTAATGGGGTTATTTGTTTCTCTCTTGTAAATTTGTTTAAGTTACTTGTACATTCTGGATATTAGACATCTATTAGATGTCTATAATGTAGACATAATAGATTATGTAGACATAATTTGTCAGATGGATGGATTGCAAAAATTTTCTCCCATTCTATAGGTTGTCTACTCTGATGATAGTTTCTTTTGCTGTACATCTCTTTAGTTTAATTAGATACCATTTGTCAATTTTTGCTGCTGTTGCAATTGCTTTTGACATTGTCATCATGAAATCTTTGCCTGTGCCTGTGTCCTGAATGGTATCACCTAGATTTTCTTCTATGGTTTTTATAGTATTGGGTTTTACACTCAAGTCTTTAATCCATCTTGAGTTAATTTTTGTATAAGGTGTAAGGAACGGGTACAGTTTCAATTTTCTGCATATGGCTAGCCAGTTCTCCCAACCCTATTTATTAAATAGGGAATCTGTTCCCCATTGCTAGTTTTGGTCAGATTTGTTAAAGATCAGATTGTTGTAGGTGAGCAGTCTTATTTCTGAGTTCTCTATTCTCTTCCACTGGTCTGTGTGTCTGTTCTTGTAGCAGTACCATGCTGTTTTGGTTATTGTAGGCTTGTAGTAGTTTGAAGTTGGGTAGCATGATGCCTCCAGCTTTGTTCTTTTTTCTTAGGATTGTTTTTGGTTATTCAGGCTCTCTTTTGGTTCCATATGAATTTTAAAATAGTTTTTTCCAATTCTGTGAAGAATGTCAATCATAATTAATGGGAATAGTATTGAATCTATAAACTACTTTGGGTAGTATGGCTATTTTCATGATACTGATTCTTCCTATCTATGAGCATGGAATGTAGTTTCATTTGTTTGTGTCTCCTCTGACTTCTTTGAGCAGTGGTTTGTAGTTCTCCTTGAAGAGGTCCATCACTTTCCTTGTTAGTTGTATTCATAGGTATTTTATTCTTTTGCAGCAATTGTGAATGGGACTTCATTCATGATTTGGCTCTCTGCTTGCCTGTTGTTGGTGTATAGGAGTGCTAGAGGTTTTTGCACATTGATTTTGTATCCTGAGACTTTTCTGAAGTTGTGTATCAACTTAAGAAGCTTTTGGGCTGAGACAATGAGGTTTTCTATTTATAGGATCATGTCATCTGCAAAAAAGATAATTTGACTTCCTCTCTCCCTATTTGAATCCCTTTATTTCCATCTTTTGCCTGATTGCCCTGGCCAGAACTTCCAATACTACATTGAACAGGAGTGCTGAGAGAGGGCATCCTTGTCTTGTGCTAGTTTTCAAGGGGACTGCTTCCAGCTTTTGCCCATTCAGTATGATATTGGCTTGGTTTTGTCTTTTATTTTGAGGTACATTTCTTCAATACCTAGTTTATTGAGTTTTTAACATGAACGGATGTTGAATTTTATCAAATGCCTTTCCTGTGTCTATTGAGATTATCATGTGGTTTTTGTCTTTAGTTCTGTTTATGTGATGAATTACATTTATTGATTTGCTTATGTTGAACCAATCTTGCATCCCAGGGATAAAGCCAACTTGATCGTGGTGGATAAGCTTTTTGAGGTGCTGCTGGGTTTGGTTTGCCAGTAATTTATTGAGGATTTTTGCATCGATATTCCTCAAGGATATTGGCCTGAAGTTTTCTTTTGTTTTTGTATCTCTGCCAGGTTTTGCTATCAGGATGAGGCTGGCCTCTTAAAATGAGTTAGAGAGGAGTCCCTCTTTTTCAATTTTTTTTAGACTAGTTTCAGTGGAAATGGTACCCACTCTTCTTTGTACCTCTGGTAGAATTCAGCTGTGAATCTGTCTGGTCTTGGGCTTTTTTTGGTTGGTAGGCTATTTATTACTGCCTCAATTTCAGAACTTGTTATTGGTCTATTCAGGGATTCAATTTCTTCCTGGTTCAGTTTTAGGAGGGTGTATGTGTGCAGGAATTTATTCATTTCTTCTAAATTTTCTAGTTTATGTGCATAGAGGTGTTTATAGTATTCTCTGATGGCTGTTTGTATTTCTGTGGAGTCAGTGGTAATAACCCCTTATCATTTCTGATTGTGTTTGTTTGATTCTTCTCTGTTTTCTTATTAGTCTAGCTAGTGGTCTATTTTTTTTAATTTTTTAAAAAAACCAGCTCCTGGATTTGTTGAATTTTTTGAAGGGTTTTTCGTGTCTCTCTCTCTTTTAGTTCAGCTCTGATATTGGTTATTTCTTGTCTTCTGCTAGCTTGGGAGTTTGTTGGCTCTTGGTTCTCTAGCTCTTCCAGTTGAGATGTTCGGTTGTTAACTTGAGATCTTTCTAGCTTTCTGATGTGGGCATTTAGTACTATAAATTTCCCTCTTAACACTGCTTTATCTGTGTCCCTGAGATTCTGGTATGTTGTCTTTTTATTATCATTAGTTTCAAGGAACTTCTTTATTTCTGCCTTAATTTCATTATTTACCCAAGAGTCATTCAGGAACGGGTTGTTTAATTTCCATGTAGTTGTGTGGTTTTGTGCGAATTTCTTAATCTTGAATTTTAATTTGATTGTGCTGTGTGCTGTGGTCTGAGAGACTATTTGTTATGATTTCAGGTTTTTTTTTTGCATTTGCTGAGGAGTGTTTTACTTCAAATGATGTGATCAATTTTAAAGTAAGTGCCATATGGCTATGAGAAGAATATATATTCTGTTGTTTCTGGATGGAGAGTTCTGTAGATGTCTTTCATGTCCACTTGATCCAGAGCTGAGTTCAGGTCCTGAATATCTTTGTGAATTTTCTGTCTCAATGATCTAATATTGACAGAGGGGTGCTGAAGTCTCCCATCATTCTTGTGTAGGATTCTAAGTCTTTTTGTAGGTCTCTAAGAATTTGCTTTATGAATCTGCATGCTCCTGTATTGGGTACATATATATTTAGAGTAGTTAGATCTTCTTGTTGAATTGAACTCTTTATCATTATGTAATGCCCGTCTTGGTCTTTTTGATTTGTTCGTTTAAAGTCTGTTCTGTCAGAAACTATGATTGCAACTCTGGCTTTTTTCTGTTTTCCATTTGCTTGGCAAATTTTTCTCCATCCCTTTATTTCGAGCCTATGTGTGTCTTTGGATGTGAGATGGGTCTCTTGAAGACAGCATACTGATGGGTCTTGGCTCTTTATCAGATTTGCCATTCTGTATCTTCTGATTGTTGAATTTAGCCCATTTTACATTTAAGGTCAGTATTGTTATGGGTGAATTTGATCCTGTCATCATGATGCTAGCTGGTTATTTTGCAGACTTGTTTATGCGATTGCTTGTATTGTCACAGGTCTGGGTACTTCAATGTGTTTTTGTAGTGGCTGGTAGTGTTTTTTCCTCTCCATGTTTAGTGCTTCTTTCAGGAACTCTTGCAAGGCAGGCCTAGTGGTGACAAATTACCTCAGCATTTGCTTGCCTGAAAAGGATCTTACTTCTCCTTCACTTAAGAAGCTTACTTTGGCTGGATATGAAATTCTGTGCTGGAAGTTCTTTTCTTTAAGAATATTAGGGTGGGCAGTCCACCATGAGGTGAGCCACTGCCCATTCACAAAAAAAAAAAAGAAAAATGAATGTTGAGTATTGTCCCCCAGTCTCTTCTGACTTGTAGGGTTTCCACTGAGAAGTCGGCTATTAGTCTGAGGGACTTTCTTTTGTAGGTGAACTGACCCTTCTCTCTGGCTGTCCTTAACAATTTTTCATTCGTTTCAACCTTGGAGAATCTGATGATTATGTGTGTTGGGTTTGATCTTCTCATGGAGTGTCTTACTGGGGTTCTCTGCATTTCCTGAATTTGAATGTTGGCCTGTCTTGCTAGGTTGGAGAAGTTCTCCTGGATGGTATCATGATGTATGTTTTCCAACTTTGTTCGATTCTCCCCATCTCTTTCAGGTACCCCAATCAGTTTTAGGTTTGGTCTATTTACATAATCCCATATTTCTCGGAGGTTTTTTCATTCCTTTTCATTCCTTTTTCTCTATTCTTGTCTGCCTGTCTTATTTCAAAAAGATAGTCTTCAAGCTCTGAGATTCTTTCCTCTGCTTGTTCTATTCTGCTATTGATACTTGTGATTGCATTATGAAGTTCTCATGTTGTGTCTTTTGGCTCCATCAGGTTGGTTATATTCCTCTCTAAACTGGTTGTACTGGCTTTCAGCTCCTATATTGTTTTATCATGAGTCTTAGTTTCTTTGCATTGGGTTAAAATATGCTCCTTTAGCTCTACAAAGTTCATTATTACCCACCTCCTGAAGCCTACTGCTTCTTTCAGTTCAGTCATCTCAGCCTCAGCCTAGTTCTGTGCCCCTGCTGGAGAGGTGTTGTGGTCATGTGGAGGAGGAGAGACACTTTGGCTTTTTGAGTTTTCAGCGTTTTTGCATTGATTCTTTCTCATCTTTATGGGTTTATTTACCTTTGATATTTGAGGTTGCTGACCTTTGAATGGAGTTTCTGTGGGTTCTTTTTTGTTGATGTTGATGTTGTTGTTGGTTTCTGTTTGTTTTTCTTTTAACAGTCAGGCTACTCTTCCATAGGGCTGCTGTGGTTTGCTGGGAGTCTGTTCCAATCATAGTTGCCTCGGTTTTTCCCATTCCCAGAGGTACCACCAGTGAAGGCTGCAAGACAGCAAAGATGGCAGCCTTCTCTTTCCTCTGGAAGCTCTGTCCCAGGGGGCACTGACCTGTTGCCAGCCTGAACACACCTATAGGAGGTGGCTGGAGAGCCTTCCTGGGAGGTCTCACCTAGTCAGCAGGAATGAGATCAGGGACCCACCCAAAGAAGCCATCTTGGCTGCCCTTTGGTAGAGCAGGTGCACTGCATTGAAGGGACCCTTCTTCTTCCTGACCATTTGTATTCTCCAGAGGCAGAAGGCTGGAATGGCTGAGTCTACCAAACCACAGAGATGGTAGCTTCCACTCTCCCTGGGAGCTTTGTCCCAGGGAGAGATCAGAGCTCTGTCTGTAGAACCCTTGCTGGAGTGGCTGAAGCCACAGGGAGGTCTCGCCCAATGAGGAGGAATGGATTGGGGTCTCACTTAAAGAAGCAGTCTGGCTACGATCTGGCAAGGCAACTATGCTCTGCTGTGGGGGACCCTTTCTTGTCCAGACCACCCGTATTCTTCAAAGCTGACAGGCTGAAATGATTAAATCTACCAATCCACAGAGATGGCAGCTGCCCCTCCCCCTGGGGAACTCGATCCCAATTCCAGCAGACTTCAGCCTGCTGCTGTAGGCCGGCTGGAATTCTAAGCCAGTGGGTCTCAACCCACAAGCCACTGTGGAAGTGGGGCCCACAGAGTGATGCCATTTGGCTCCCTGGACTCAGCCTCCTTCCTAGGGACATGCATGGACATATCTCTTGCCTTGCCACAGAGCACAGGGCTGGAATATGCAAAATTTTGGGTTCTCTGTGTGTGCCTGGGTGGCCACTCTGCCAACTCCACATAACTCCATGTAACGGACCCAACGCCCTGGTGACATGGGCTCATGAGGTGATCTCCTGATCTGCAAGTTGCAAAGATCTGTGGGAGAAGTGAAGTTTCCTGTGTGGGGTCCCATAATCACTCACGCTTCTTTTGGCTGGGGGTGAGGGTTCCCTTGGCTCTGTGCCACTCCTGGGTGGGGCATCACCCAGCACTGCTTCTCTTTGCTCTCCTTGGGTTGAGCTGTTTGCCTCATCAGTCCCAATACGAGAACCCAGGTATCTCAGCTGAAGGTGCTGAATTCACTTGCTCCTTTCATTCCTCTCTGTAAGTGCTGAGGACCACAGCTGCTTCCAATCGGCTATCATCGTTTCTTCTCTGCTGCTTATTTGTTTCTTCATGTTAGTCTTGTTTGTGAGACCAGGGACCATATCTATCTTGTTCACCTTGGTATTCCCAGGGCCTAGAATCATACTTGGATTATAAAATAATAACCTACTTTTAAATTCTGTTTGCCCCTTTTGTGACACTGTTCTCTGTACCCTACAGATGATAACGCATTGAATCATATTATTGCTATGAGGTAGGCACAATTCAAACCTACATTTATGAATGAGAAAACCTAGGCACTGAGTTAAGTCATTAAGGCCCTTGCCTAAGCCAGTAAGTGACAATGCCAAACTTCAGCACCCATCAGAATCACCTGGGGACCTTGTTAACACAGAGGTTACTGGTCCCCCACCTTGGCATCTCTGTTTTGGTAGATCTAAGATGAGTTCCGAGAATTTTTACTTCTAACTAGTTCCCAAAAGATGCTGATGCTGCTGATCTAAGGACCACCCTTTGAGACCCAATGCAATAGAGTTCACAGAGTATTTTCCACATTAGTTGTATTAATACTCACATCCCCATAATCAATTATTATGCCCATTTTATAGATGAGGAAACTGAAGCTTGGAGAAGTTAATTAGCTTTCCCATGGCCAGAGTGGGAATGCGTAGAAAAGCTGCTTGGACCCAAGTCTCCTGGCTCTAAGTCAAGTTCTCTTAGCCTTGCCCTAAGAGGTCTTTATATGGTACTGAATTTTTCAGAATGCTGCTCCAGTAGATAAATTGTGAAGTCTTTGTGAATTTGGCAGATAAACAAAGCAACCTCCTGGGAACAAAAGAACTTACGTCTTCTGTTTCAACTTAATTGAGTGATGAAGATGGTTTCTAGATAAGCTGACATGATTGAAATTTATTTGTATTGTAATTTAGACATGCCATAAATGTGATCCAATAACCTTCCCTTGTTATTACCATATTTTAGTCATATGGTAGCATTGCAGGTGAGGTTTATCTAGTCATACTACTATTAAAGAACCTTTCTTGCAAAACGTAAGGAGAAATTCAGGAGTATTTATTGAAAATTTACAGTATCTTAATATTTATCACTTAATTTTCTAATTAACAAAACACTTGTTCTAAAAGCGTTTTTAAAAAACATCTAACAAATGAGACAATTTTCGCTAAAATTTCTAAAGAAGTTCTTGAATTTTTTTCTTAGCTAGCAATTCTATACACCATACACAATTTACAGTATCTTAATATTTATCACTTAATTTTCTAATTAACAAAACACTTGTTCTAACAGAGTTTTTTAAAAAACACCTAACAAATGAGACAATTTTCACTAAAATTTCTGAAGAAGTACTTGAGTTTTTTTTTCTTAGCTAGCAATTCTACACACCAGAGACTTAAAGCTACAAAACTTTGTTTTCTTTAGGTTCTTTCAGGCATTAATATTCTGATGCCATGTTCTTATGACAGAGACTAATAAGAAGAGAAAATGGCACACCCTGAATCTATTTTAGTGATGAAGATAGGAGTGGGAAATGGGAAAAACCTACCTTGTTCTCATTACTACCATGCTAAAACTGTCATCAATTATAATCACTCACTGTATTCCTAACATAAGACTGTTGGTAATTTCTCTTCAACACAAACTCAGTCTCCTTTAATTCAGTTTGTACATGAAATATATATGGAAATATATTGATAGTGCTTACATTGATGGCATTTTCTTCACTTACAAAAGCATGTGTTGAAAAGAAGTGATGTCAGTACATAATAGCAAAGTTTCTGTAAGGTGGTTATTTCTGTTTTATTTCCCATGATCTTATGGCAAAGTAGAAAATGTTTCAATCATTTACCTTGACCCATATTTTATAGTCATAGTTATCTATGCAGCACGTTTCTCTTGTGTTTGCCCAGTGTGCAAAGACATCAGTACTCTTCTCCCTACTTTTACCCACGGTCTTATGTCCACTTTTGTTCAGTATGACTTGACGAATTTGTTTCTTCTGTAGTTTACTAGCTTTTCTTCCCTTTATTCTCCCTCTCTTTCTTCTCCCTCTCTTTCTGTCTTTCTTTTTTCAACAAATAATTATTGGGTCCATGATATTCTAGATTCAGAAAGTAAGACACTTAGAGTCATGCTAGAGAAGAAAACATGAATGAATTAAAAAGTCCCATGGTTCAAGATGATATATTACACAATGAAGAAGCAAGAAAAAAGTCCACAAAGGTGCAATAAGCATTTGATTGGGGTAGAGATCCCTGCAGACTTGAGATTTTTAGGATGGCTGCATAAAAAACATTTCAGGTATCTGTTGCTGCATACTAACCACCCAAAATATAGTAACTTAAAACCATAAATACCTATTATTTGTCTTAATCCTACCATCTGGGTTGAGCTCAGCTGTCTTCTGCTTCACTGGTTGTCTGCTGGTGTTGGGATGGCCATGATGAATTCTTCAGTAGCATGTCTGGCATCTCCTCTAAATGGCCGGAACAGGTGGCAGCTGGCTGGGCTTCTCTCTCACCACAAAATCTCCTCAGTAGAGTAGCATTACCTCTGCATGGTAGCTCAAGGCTCCATGAGAGAGCATTTCAAGAGGGCATAAGCCACAGTGTGCAAGTACTTATCAAGATTTCACTTGTATTACCCTTGCTCATGTCCCATTGGCCAAAGCAAGTCAGTGTGGGAGGTATGATACTGGGGGGCATGGCTCACTGGGGGCCACCAATCCAAACAAAGCATTTTGAGGGCCTGACTGCATGTGGGGTATGAGGAAAGAAGTCACATATGGAGGATTTCGGCTTGGATGACTAGAAAACTTGTGGGATTATTCATTAGGAGAGAAAAAGTTACATGTGGGAGCTAATTTTAGATGTTAAGTTTGAGAAGATGAAAAGTTCTACTAAGCAGAGAAAATATATTGGAACATGAATGTAAGCTGAGGGCTGAAGTACTAAACTTTGGAGTCATGTGTAGAAAATAAATAGTTAAAGCCACGTGACTGAATGTGTTCTGAGAAAGACAGAAATTCTACCAACAAACTGAGCTATGTTTATAGTTAGAAGTTGGGAGGAGGAAGAGAGCCCAATTAGGAGACAAAGATACCACACATTCCTCATATTTTGTGATTCTGTTAGAATTTCTAAATTTCTAGGTGAATTTGGCTCTGATTTATCTGTGAGTAGGATTTAATTGAGAAATAATTCAGTTTTATTTTAGCAACTTCTACTGTGGAACACTTCTAGTGCCTTGAGTTACTGACTTTTAAATGTGTATTTATTAATAATAGCTAATATATTTGAGACTTTCTCATGGTTCTCAAAGGGTAGAATCATAGTATGAAAACTAAAGTTATGATATTGCTTGGCAGAATTAAGTTTTACTTTGTTTATTAATCTCTCTGCATGTTGTCCTGCTTCTGGAAACATCAATGAAATTGTACCAAAGCTTGGTTTCAATGATGAGTCGATTTTCTTCTTATGAAAAGGACTTAATGTTAAGGCTGGATCAACCCAAGCACAGGAAATTAAAAGTTAAGTGCAGAAATATTTTCTTGGTATCCACTAACAAAGTAAAGTCAGTTTTCAAAGGTAATTCATAGTTTTCTCTGAACCCATTGCACACATAAATGTGAACTGCTGATTGAGGAACTGCTTTCACAAATTCTTTGAGGAGGTGTCAGGAAGTTTTGTATTTAAAAACTTGTGTGAGCACTGTCTTGTTTCACTGAGCTACTCATGTAGGCCTTACATAGGTCCTCTAGTTACATGACCTGCCCAATTCAATGTGACACTCAGGCCCAAACTACTGTGGGCAGGCCATAAGGACCTTTTACACTTCAGCCAGAGAGGATAGGGTAAATCACAGAAACCATTTGGAATATATTATTTTTACTCAATCTTTTGCTTTTAGAGAAAAATGCGGAGGTTAAGAATTCAGTTCAAACTGAAATTAAATATGTCTTGAATTGTTCCATGGCATCACTGATTTTCCCTTTCTCTTTCACTTTTAAATCATTTTGTGACTATCGTATGGAAAACACCTATACATACTTGCTTATCTGAAAGAATATAATGGCCGTGCTATAAAATGTGGTTGTAATGTTATATGTACTGTTTAACAATTTTATTAAGTATGTTACTTGGTTCCCTCCACTTTAGAAAATTTTAAGGGTGATACAGGTATGTGTTATATAGGCAACGTCTTCATTAATGTACTACGTTGTGACTTAATAAAAAGAGACAAGGTTTATTGAGTGCCTGCTATGCCCTGAGTGCTTTACATGTAGGATTGTATTTGATCCTCACAACATCCTTATGAGTTAGGTATAAATAATAATCTGCAAATTATTATCCTTAATTTGCAGATTAGGAAACTGAGACCGAGAGACTTTATGTAACCTGTCCAAGGTAACATAGCTAGTAAGTAGCAGAGCAGGATTTAAACATGCATCTCTGAACTTACAGTCAGAACTTTTAACTACTGTCCAGGCACCAGAAGTTTTATGATATTTCTCTTCTTGTGTTCCAATTCCTTTATTTTCTACCTTTAAAAATCTTGACCTGCATAACTGAAGACGATTCGGCCAGTGGAGCACGGGATATTCACTATAATATTTCCTGGCTATTCTCTCACTATATGATAAGGGGCCACATCTGTAATCAGGTAGTCATTAGTAATAATGAATGCATAGCATGTCAGTACTGTTGTTTGAAGTGAATTTCACATTTTAGCTCATTTAATTCTCATAACATCCGTATGAAATAGGCATTATTATCTCCCTTTGCAGATGAGAAAACAGCACAGATAAGTTAAGTAACAAACCCAAGATCACTCAGCTGTTATATTAAGTAGCACAGTCATGGTTCAAATCCAGGCAGTTTAACTCCAGAGTTCATGTGTTTAACCACTCCGCCTACTGCCTCTTTAGTTTCAATTTGTTTTCTTCAAAGCTACATCTTCTTCACATAACAATTTTGATAACAAATTCAAAATTAGTTTAGTTTATATAAAGACTAAGATCTATTTCATTCCTCTCGCCTCAATTTCTTTTAAAAGTTTGGATGATTTATTTATTTTTTATTTTTATTTATTTATTTATTTACTTTTGAGATGGAGTCTCACTCTGTCACCCAGGCTGGAATGCAGTGGCGTGATCTTGGCTCACTGCAACCGCCGTTGCAATTCTCCTGCTTCAGGCTCCCTAGTAGCTGGGATTACAGGTGTGCACCACCATGCCCAGCTAATTTTTTTGTATTTTTAGTAGAGATGGGGTTTCACAATGTTGGCCAGGCCAGTCTTGAACTTCTGACCTCGAATGATCTGCTTGCCTTGGCCTCCCAAAGTGCTGGGATTACAGGCATGAGCCACTGTGTCTGGCCCTGCTTGGATGATTTAGATTGGGATGATGAAGTTATTCATTGTATTAAATAATTTTGTGCTTTCTCTTACCCCTCATGAAGTCCTTTTGCTTATTAGGTGCCTATTTATCAACTGTATACTGGGTAAAAATACGTGAGTTCTTACTTGCTGTAGACACAGAATATTTGAATTTAGCTTAAATATTGTTTACATAAAATCCACTCCTGATTCCATTTGAAACAATTCTAAAATTAGGATATTCCATGTATCTTCTTCCTTACAAGCATAGAAATATTGTTATCCCTTGATCTATGCATATCATTCTGTACTAGTGGGTTGCTGTAAGGACCAAAAGAAGCTTTCCTCATAAAACTTCTGTACTCACAAATGAGCTTATTGATGTCATATAGGCAGCTCTTTACACACACACACACACACACACACACACACACACACACTCCACTTAAAACTGGATTTTTAGAAAGCAAATAGTTTATTGACTTTTATTCTAGAAAAACAATTACCAAAATGATTTTTGGGAATAATCTAGAAATTCGACCAGGAGGTCCTTTCTGCAAAGCTATGGTGACACAGTTGAAATGGAGAAAATGTCCATGAAATAAGTCTGGGCTACTCTGTATTGATGATGTCTATCCAGCAAAAGTTCCAATGCCTGAAGCCCAGAGTCAGAGGATGGATAAGCCTGGGAATGCCATCTGTCTATGAGACATGGTAAACACCAATATTTTAAAAGGAATCTTAGTCAATGGAACCAGAAGTGATATAAAAAAGTTTTACTTCCTCTTATGACCTCCTGTGACAAAGAGAATTTATCGATGATTGAACATGATTGCTATCATACTGAGAGTTCTCCTTAATGTTAAAACGCAAATGAAATAAAGTGGGTTACCTAACAAGTGACATGAAGTTTATACTCATGATGCTGTACTACAGGATCATCTACTCCTTTCTGTTTATTATGTTGTTTAGATTTGGAAATCTTTCAGTTTTTGAAATTAATCCTTATAATGCTATTTTATGATCAGCAAAATGGAGACCCACATGTAAAAATTCATCTTAAAGTCACTGAAATAGTCTTTTAAATCTATGCAGTTTGAAAATATAGCGGAATATGATAATATCACTTAGGGTATTTGTTTATGATTATACAATTTCCTCCAGTCTTTATTTATTTATATATTTATTGTTTGTTTGTTTGCCTTTCCAGCCTGCAAACCCTCTAGTCTTTAAATAAATTGGAACTCTCAATGAACTTTTTGCATGAAAATAACTTTCACTGAGTACTTCTTTGATTTTAGCATTCTAAATGACTTTAATTTAAAAAGTATTCAGAATTAAGTATATAGAAAAACTGATAGTATATACATAGTGACTACATATACCATTTTAATAATTTTCAGCATGCAAAAGTAATTATATATATTATACTGGTAGATTTATTTCCTCATTGTAGGAGGAGTCATAATACAGACAGCTTTAATTTATCATAACCTTGAGAATTCTTTGGGATTTATGTTATACATGAACTAATGATTAACTAAATATACTCTAGTCATAGTCTTTCCTTCAGTGAACACAGAGTTTAGGAAACATTCTATGTAGGAATATGAATCATAAAGCAGGAAGATTTTTTTGCTAGCTACTTATATCCCCATAGTGATAGTAGGTATTAAGCTGAAGCTAGAAGGAGATTCCATACTTTCATATGGTCTTCAAATAATTTTAAACCAACTAAATTCTTTTCAGGCTTGAATTTCATGTGTTCCAATAACCCTAGGCTCTTTTTTGAATCTTATTATCACAGGATATGTGATTTTAGAAGTGTTTTTATTTAAGTCATAAAATAAAATATACCCCTGCTATAGCATGGATATTTCATGACTTTGGATTTAACATGAGCCAGTCTTCTCTCAGCTAACACCATTGTTAGTATGGGGTTCTTGCAGAATCACAAAAGG
Organism: Homo sapiens; assembly: GCF_000001405.40. Lineage (NCBI taxonomy): Eukaryota > Metazoa > Chordata > Mammalia > Primates > Hominidae > Homo > Homo sapiens. The sequence continues at coordinate 88,578,861 of NC_000005.10, read as the reverse complement.
TGAGAGCTATATTTTATACAAAATCTGTTACTCTTTCTAGAGGAAATGGTTTGCTATTTCATAGTGAATTTCTGGAGGGTAGGATCTATTAGATCCCATTAACTCAAATTTAGTGATTAGTGATAAACTGGCAGATTATTAATAGACTTGAATTGTAGGTTGTGCCTGTACTAAAAAATAAAGTCAAGGTTATTTGGAGATTTGATACATACAAGTACAGTTTTATTCTGAGTTAATGACTCAATTCTTCATTTAAGTTGGTAAGCATGTCAGTTTGGTGTATATGTAATCTTTTTTATTAGATTTATTGTAATATCCTATCAATACTAATTAATCCATTTTACTAGAATGACCCCAAAAAGTTGGAATAAAATTGAATGTAAATATATTCATTAATTAATCTACTCTCTCAATAATTCATTCATTCATTTATTTATAAACAAACATTTGCTGCCTTCCTAGTATGTGTTAAGCCCTGTGCTAGTATCTAAAATACGTTAGCAGGTAAAAACAAACAAACAAACAAACAAACAAACAAAAAAACTAAACAACATATATGATTCTTGCTGTCATGAAGCTTCAGACAAGTGGAGGAGCCAGGCATTAATCATATCATCATACTCATGAAAGAATAATTACAAACAGATATGTCTTTATGGAAAGCAATTTGCTGCTCAGTATAACAGAGCAAGCAGGCTTTGTCTAGGGGTGAGGTTGGGGTGCTAGGGAAGGCTCTGCAAAAGGTTGAGTAGGGTGGTGTATGAAGGAGTTTTCCATTTGTAGAAGAAAAAGCATTTGCAACTGCCCCAGGTGGGAGGAAGATACTGAGGGGAGAAATGGAAATAAAGCAAAAGTTGAAGTTGTTTAGGAAAGAAGCACAAGATGAATCGAGGGCCAAACCACTCAAGGATTTTTTAGTCCATTTATCTACCTTGGCCTTTATCCTAAGAGAAAGTGGCAATTGTGGAAATATCTTGAGAAAGGAAGTGTAGTAGGTTTAATGGTGGCCCCCATGAAGCTATGTCCATGTGCTAACTCTTGGAACCTGTGAATGTAGTCTCATTTGGGAAAAGGGCCTTTGTAGACATAATTAAGTGAAGGATCTTGTGATGGAGTTCTCCTGTGTTATCCCAGTGGCCCCTAAATCCAATGACACGTCCTTCTAAGAGACAAAAGAGAAGGACCCCAAAGGAGAGGGCCATGTGAAGATGGAGGCAGAGATAGGAGTGAGAAGCTACAGTCAAGGAATGATGACAGCCATCAGAGAATGGAGAGGCAAGGAACAGATTGCCTCCTAGAGCCTCTGGAAGAAACACAACCCTGTAGACACCTTGATTTCAGACTCTGGCCTCCAGAACTATAAGAAAATAAATTCTTGTTGTTTTAAGCCACCGGGTTTGTGGGAAATTGTTATAGCAGCCCTAAGAAATGAATAAGGGGCTGTGACCCAGTCAGCCATATGTCATCATGGGTCTTTCAGCTGCAGCGTGTGGAGACCTGATCCATGTCAAGCCAGAGAGGACTGGGAGGGGCCAGGGAGTAGATTTTTCACTTTATTTGAGACAAGAGCCTGGTAACTTGCTTGGACTAGAGGGATGGTCGTGGAAATAGATTGAAGAACTAGTAAGGAAAGTTGAGAGGACTTGATGATGGACTATTTGCCTAGGTAAGGGAGAGAGGCAAATGTTAGTTTTAAGATTCACCTTTGCTTATTTTTGGCAGAAAAGTTGGCATTGTATTCATTCAAGGAGTATTTATTATCTTTCTACTATGGGTCTGACACTGTCCTAAGTTCTGGTGACAGTGGCAAATAAAACAGACAGGGTCGTGCCCTTTCAGAGATTATGGTAAGGCAAGAAATGAGGACAAATTGTGATTTGTGGATGCATATATGCAACCAAATAGAAAAAGTTAGTAATAATAACATTGGCTTAGTTTACACTGGACCCAGAGTAGTCATCACATCACACTTATGCCATACATAGCTGACCAGGAGGATGTCATGAGACAAAGAATATAATGCAATGTAATGGCTTTTTAAAAAGGTAATCCCCAACACAATCTTCTTATGTTTGGATGAAATGAGAACATTTATAGTAAGATGTCATAGTAATACTCTTATATCTAAACAAAATACCAATAATTGTTTTTTTCCTCCATTTAAATGAGGGGATTAGACAAACCAATTCCCTAAGGTCCCTTTTAGCTTAAAAAAGACACAAAAACAGAAAAACAACTCTTTATTTTTTACTACATGTTATTCTTTTTTACTATAAGTTCGTTATCAAGATCTGATCTTTAGGAAGAATTTAAGTGTAATTTAAGGATAAGCAACAGTTTATAAATAGATCTTAATTTAAAGAAGGTGTGAATATTCATGTTTTTCATAAGTGGCTCCTAGGTAAGAATTAAAATTTTTCTCCCTGAAATATTGTCATGCCATGAGCTGGAGATTCCAATGTATTTCTGGTCTTTACTATCGATTTTTGTGTATTCTTTTTGCTATTTTAGCATTTTGAAGAAAGAGAGGAGGGTGAACATTGAATTGTAATTTGTAGGGAGTTAAGTCTAGTTTCAGGTGTCCTCTCTTATGACCTCCTTTCTTAAATCTCATTCCATCAATTCCTGGCTGGATAGCTTTCAATTGGCTCTTTAACTTGAGCCAAATTAAAAAGTGGTGCTGATTTGGCCACATTCTATGGGATTTTCCTAAACAGTGTCAGAACCTGAATGTAGGTATCCACTTTGTGAAGTGTGTGAGGTTCTGACACTGGGGGAGTCCACAGGAGGTAGAGGGGAGCTCAGCACTGGAGACTGTTGACCTTAGATGTGAATCCTGCTCTACTACTCACACACTATCATCTGACTAATCTGTAAAATACGTATTTTGTAAACTTACTTTTAAGGGTTAGCAAATCTGTTTATAAAGTATTTATCACAGTCCTTACACTGTAGTAGGGGTTTAATGAATGGTATCAATTACTATAGTTATTGCAAAAGTGTTAGCAAAAGTCATCTGACATCTCTGTAAAACAGTTGCCATTGTATAGCCACTTTAATTAAACGCTCTGTATTGAGACTGGGTAGCTCAGTTCATTTGAGAAGATAGACTGCAGCTGCTCCAAAGGAGAATGTGAAAAATTTAAGAGAGTGCAAAAAGGTGAAGATCTTCAGTATTTTCAAATAGCCTAACTCGTCTCCATTCAAATATGGTTAGGGAATGGAAAATCATATTGTGCTTAGAATAGCGCATTACTAAAACATCTGTATCCCATCATACATATCTGTTAACTTTACAATGCTTATTTCAAATCTAGTTACATTGTAATTTCCTATATAAGGGAAAAACATATTCTCCCAAGCTATTGACTTCCTAGATGTTCCTTGGGTGCTTCTGAAAGCTGCATTTGATGCTTTCCTTTCATAAGAGTATGATTTAATAAAGTATTATTTACTTAGCTCATGACTAAACACTAACTTAGCACAGTTGAAGAAATACCTTACCAGATTTCTCCAGACTGACTATGTTGGTCAGTAAAGATCCATTTATTTTAAACTACGTTTGAAAAACACCTAGTTTCATATTTTCTCACATTTTATCTGAGCAGTGCACAGTGTTTATTTGTAAAGTGGAAATGAATTTTAATATTGAACCTCTTACTGCTGTGGGGTTTAGAGTTGACTTCATATCATTAAATGCATGGATGAATTAGTGTATTTATTTGCATGTATGATATATCTGTATTTCAAAGCAAACATTTCAAAGGATCACTAAAATATGTATGTAAAGTTTGTATTTGCCTCCTAGTAATGTTCATAGAGGGTATGCACTACACAGATCTGGTTTTATAAGAAAAAATTGGACTGTTTGGAACTCCATTACTCAATTTTCATGGGCATATATGTAGGCAGACTTATATATGCAAATTTTGGAAGTGTTTATGACATAATTTTAAAATCTGACAGTAAATAGGTAAGATCAAATTCTACCCACAGGTGACTTAATATTGGTCAAAACAGTGTTTTTGCTTTTCTGTATTTATGACACAGAACCAAGATATACAGGGCCAAGCATAGTTTGTGAGACAGTTACACACATTTCATTTTAAAATATGGGCGCTTTACAGTAAATAACTTGAAACTGAGGACATATTGGAAATAGTGCCGGGGATTGTATGCCATTTTAGTTATCCATAAATGTAAACTCCTTTAATTATGCACAACATGATCTCATATTTTTTATACTCTTTTCCCTAGATTTTAGTTCTTACTTTTAATTTTATCACAAATAGATTTTAATCAGATTTAAACATGTACAAGAGCCTCGTTTCACTTTGATACATGTGTATCTGATTCCCATGGAAGTTACTGGGGGTTATGAATGCATACAGAGGGGAGAGTACACCCATAGCCTCCAAAACAAATTTAGAAAAATTTAAAATGCCCTGGAGTAATAAAGAGCTAGTCTGAGGGTTCAAAAAGAGGGTAAATACATGTTTTAAAGATGATTTTCGTAAAAACTCTTGTGGCTTTTTTGAAGCCCAAGGGAGGGATAGATGGGTGTGAATAGAAAAAAAGAATAAACTAGCAATTATGCCTAGGGTAAAAGTGTAAATTACAGTTTACCTTGGCAGAAAGCATGTGCATGGTAACATTTTTTAATGAGTGCTATTTGTAGTTCCAAGAGCTATGTAATCATTGTTTACTCCTTAGAATGCCCTTGTGAGGTTTGCATTACCTACCAATCAGCCTCATGTGACAATGACATGGAGACACGTTTATCATTCTGTTTTCAGGAACTAATATTTTAAGTGATCTACCAAGCTACCATCAATATGCCCTGTGCAAATGAGGAAACCTCAAGTTAAGGGGGGTTAGGAACTTTCCTCAATTACTTGAGAGACAGCATTTGGGTTGGGTTTGGTTAGGAATCATTCTCTTGCAGTATCTAAGAGACATGGAACACATTTGTTGCCATATATCATGCCTGCCTCCCCATTTTTCCACCCATTCCCTTCTTTCCCACAGTCAGACTTGTTATTAGTTATCAAGGTGCTAGGAAAATACATGCTTAGAACTGAAGTCTTGAATGCTATTTAAATGTTGGCCATCTTACCCTCTCCTTAAAAAGCATTAACAAATATTAACTCAACTGGTGAAACCAAGTAAAAATTTTTATCTTTACTACACTGAGGCACCATAACAAAAGTAACCTAATGCCATCACCAGTTGGGTGATATAATATACTACCTATGTGACTTGGCATTATGCCGTTCAATAAAGACCATAGAAGTAAAATCACAACACCTGGCTTCTAATTGAGTGCTTCTCAACTCCGGCTGCCTAGTAGAAATATCTGGTGAGCTTTCAAAACATACAGATGCCAGAGATACCCTCTTTCCCCAAAAGTCTAATTTACTTGTTTTGGGGGGAGGATCAGGCATCAGTATTTTCACAAACTTTTCAGATGAGTCCACTGTTCTACTTTCCATTTTAAAACTTCTAATTTTTGTGAATTCCTTTTAAGAACTCACACTCTCTTAAGCTTCTATTCTTGCATCTCTGAAATTGGGATAATATATACCTAGTCTGTCTCACACCATCTTGAAAATCAAATGGAGACTTGATTTTAAAACCTGTGAAAACTGTGACATGATGTACAAACATGAGATATGCTTGTGATGGTCAGGTTAGCTTTCTTATAATTTAAAATAGTAAAATTTGAAGGAAACTTCTTGGGAAGAAATCTCCAGTTTTCCTTCATTTTCCACAGTGGTTTTTTGATACAACTTCAGTCTATTTTAACTCAAGTATATATTGTGCACTTGGTGTGCAAAATGTATGCTAATGGATATTTGCCAACTCAATGGTTAGAATAGATAGTAGAAAGTGGGGTGTGTGTGTGTGTGTGTGTGTGTGTGTGTATAAAAGTTTGTCCATATAGATATCTGGGAAAACTCTAGATAGATTTAAAGAAAAGATACTGAGTAACAGCTATAAAAAGGTGATTGGCCAAAACATATCAGAGTTTATTCATTCACCCAAGAAATACTATTTTGAGGGTATGCCAGGCCTTCTGCCAAGACATAGAAATAGATTACATTGTCAATGTCCTCAAAGAATCTCCATAGACAATTTATAATGACAGACAAATAAGCCAATGCTTATAGTACAGAGACATGCAGGCTGCAGTTGAAGGTCTTTCAGTATCATGAAGAAGTCTGCAGGAGAGAAGTGAAGAGCCCAGGAATGTGGTCAGGTAAGGCTTACAAGAAGGCATAAAGTGTGAATGAACTGAGTCTTGAGGGACACCTGGAAAGAGGTCAGACTGAGGAAGGGGATGGGTCTTCCAGGCAAAAAACAAAAACAAAAACAAAAACAAAGCAGAAGTGCTAGAAAAGAAACGACAGAATGTGGCCCATTCAGGAAAGTGTATGAAGCACATGTAACAGTATGTTTGGGAATTGCTAGTGGATGAGGGAAGAGAGAGGTAGCCAGTGGCCAAACACAAATGGATTTAGAATTTATTCTGAAGGCCATGAAGATACATTTTATGTTATATAGGGGAGTAGCAGATTGGCTTGCTTTCGGTAAATTCAATCCCATAACCATAATGGAGGAAGGAAGATGGACTAGGTGAGAGATCCAACAGCTCACCACTGATGTAGTGTAGGCCAAAAATGAGAAAAGACTGAACAAAGACAGCGGCAGAAAGGAGTTGTTGACTATTTAGAGCCATTTAGGAGAGTTGAATCAATAAAATTAAGTGTCAGATTAATAATAATCACAAACTTTTTCTGAATAAAACCAACACATGGAAAACAGGATGTTAGAATGGGACTGTGGTAGGCTGAATAATGGCCCCCAAGATATCTATGTTCCAATTCCTGGAACCTGTGAATATATGACCTTAATATGCTAAAAGGGACTTTGCAAATGTGATACATTAATTATCCTGAGATGGAGACAGGCCCCTGGATTATCTGGTGCATCCAATGTAATCATAAGTGTCCTTATAAGAGAGCAACAAGAGGATCAGAGTCATTGGTAGTTGTGACAATGGAAGCAAGAAGTTGAATTGATTTGAGGAAAGGATCCAAGCTAAGGAATGTGGGTGGCTTCTAGAAGCTGAAAAAGGTAAAAGGTAGGAAGACAGATTCTACCTTTATTCAAAACCATCAGAAAGAAAACACTCTTACCAATATTGTGTCATTTTCCTCTAGCATCAGTAGTGAGATGTCATTCTCATTCATATTTATTTTAAACTTCTATTCTTTCATACTGGAAGTTTTTACAAAACTATCTGGAAATCTTGGTGTTCAGAAATTTTGGAAGGAATATACAGTTATAGGTCTTTTTAAAATTCATTCTGCTTATCATGTTGTGGTACATTTGATCTAGAGATGACCCTTCTCCACCTATGGATATTTTGTTCTACTTGTTTCTTGATTATTTCTCTTCCTTTCTTTAAAAAATCATTTTCAGACTTAGTTGTATGAATATTAGACCTCCTAGAGTAACTCTGTATCTCTTAAGTTTTTCTTGTATTTATGATCTATTTTTCTATTGTACTTTTTGTGATATATTCTCAACTTGGTTCTGTTTTTTAAATTAAATTCTTTATTTCAAATATTATATTGTAAATTTCCAGTACCTCTTTATTTTTCTTCTCATCTTTTCCATAGTTGCATGTTTTTGTTTTATACATGTGTAAACTCAATCTCCCTGAAGTTTTTTTTAATCTTTTTTTTTCTATTTACTAAATATTGTCTTGTTCCAGATTGGCATGCAGGAGGTTTATTAGGAAGTATCCTTGGGATCAACACCTGAGGAAGTGAAGAGAAGAAAAGGATTCAGGACTGAGCAGAGGGAAAAGTTGAGCTCCAATGCAATCTCAGTGGAGTTTTCATCCAAGCTTTGGGGAGTTCTGAAGCTGGGATTGTGAAGCAGGTTCGCTGTGCTCTGATTACCAACTTTTCTAAGTCTGGTGAGAGAGAGCATACTCATGTGCAGAAAGTTACATGAAGCAAGTTTATTACTTACAGATAGGCAGCAAGGGACAACAGAAGCCTAGGGTTCATTATGAATTGGTCCCCCAAGGCTCAAAAAGCTACTTGGGGTGCATGGAGATCCCCTGCACGCCCCACTTGCATCACAGCTCAGGGACCCTGGGAAGCAGCCTACCCTAAGTCTCAGGGCCACATGATCACTGGGCTAAAGTGTTGAAGGTCATCCTGTTCTAGTGGGAGATTGGGACAGAGCCCAGGCTGTTCTTGCCAGCTTCTCTCCACACCCATCTCAGGATGCTGCATTCCCAGCACATTCTATAGTTATTCTTAAGCAAGAAATAGGGGAGAACAGAGCCAATCCACAGCCACCTAGAGAACTATCCTGCAGGGATGACTCTTCAGTGTTTCTCCACATTGGGATAAGGAGGCTAGGACTTTATATATCCATGCTTCCCAGTCACTGGATATGGTAGCCATCAGGAAGGAGTATGATCTTGGGTGAGGTGGCTGTCTTCAGCCAATGCAATCCCTTATGGCTTTCTGGGGGCAGCTCTCCCAGCAACTGGAGAATAAATCATTTGTTTCTGAAGAGGGATCTGTGTGGTTTATCTCAGCATCCATCACATCTCTGCTTTTTGTTTTTTAAGGTTTGTTAGATTCTACTTGTTCCGCTTTTTTTCTCTCTTTGATACTATCATTTTTTCTTCAAATGTTTGGTGAGTTTAGGTTTTTATTTACATGTATGCCTGTCTAGGGAGTTAACATGACTAACTCCCTATCTGTTTGCCCTAATAAGGCTTTTCCTTGAGTAGAGGGACTAGCAGAGCTCTCTGTGTGTGGTTGGGCGCACAGACTGGCAGGACTCACTTTCAGATGCTCAGCTGGGGAAGTATCTGGCATTTCCAAATGCTAGAATGTGGACAGCCTTATTTTGGGGTGCTACTATCTCTGTTAGTTATCCCAGATGATTTTAACATCTCTTTGGAAGTTAATTATCTGATTTAAATATGGAATGTGGGGCAAACGCTAATTCTGTATGCCACATCAATCTGTGTGGGAGTGGCAGGAATGTGGTTCCTGAACAAAGAGCTGTCCATATTCCAATATTGCCCAAACTTGTTTGCCATAAAAATCACATGGGACTCTTGCTAAAAATCCAACTTCCTGGGTTATATTGCCAGACTCACTGAACGAGAGTCTTCAGGGATAAGTTCAGAGATTCTCTCTGTTTAACAAGAACCCCATGTTAATCTTATGATCAGCTGAGGTTTGTAACACTGCCTGTGGACAGTCTTTCAATCAATCACCTTCCTTATCCATCCCCAATCTTTGTACCTGTTCCTTTGGAGTCTCTCTGTGGCTTCATGGTCAGGAACAGTGCTTTTCTTTCTGTTAGAGCTTTTTCCTATGTTTGTTTGAAATGGAGGCTCCTACTTTTGTTTGCCTATTAATATGATAGTTTCTACCTGCTACTCATGTTACAGAACGTCATCAGGCTCTCTGGTCTTCCTGTTCTCAGAACAGTTATAAATATATTCCCTTTTGTACTTCTTTTTCAATGAGATGAGTTTTTAGAAAAGGGGGAAGGTAAACATGTACACTCAAAATACCCTCTTGAATCAAATCTCAATAATCACACTTTGGAAAAATCTCCTGAGCTAGGCTATTGCTAATGTGCAGTATAACAGATTGGATACGGGGATAAGGGAGGTAGGGCAGCTTTGGATAATCCTCAACAGTCTGGCTTTAGAAATTGGGCAATTTTTTTTATTATCATACTTCAAGTTTTAGGGTACCTATGCACAATGTGCAGGTTTGTTACATATGTATACATGTGCCATGTTGGTGTGCTGCACCCATTAACTCGTCATTTACATTAGGTATATCTCCTAATGCTATCCCTCCCCCTTCTGCCGACCCACAACAGGCCCCAGTGTGTGATGTTCCCCACCCTGTGTCCAAGTGTTCTCATTGTTCAATTCCCACCTATGAGTGAGAACATGCAGTGTTTGGTTTTCTGTTCTTGCGATAGTTTGCTCAGAATGATGGTTTCCAGCTTCATCCATGTCCCTACAAAGGACATGAACTCACGATTTTTTATGGCTGCATAGCATTCCATGGTGTGTATGTGCCACATTTTCTTAATCCAGTCTATCATTGATGGACATTTGGGTTGGTTCCAAGTCTTTGCTATTGTGAATAGTGCCACAATAAACATACATGTGCATGTGTCTTTATAGCATCATGATTTATACTCCTTTGGGTATATACCCAGAAATGGTATGGCTGGGTCAAATGGTATTTCTAGTTCTAGATCCCTGAGGAATCGCCACACTGTCTTCCACAATGGTTGAACTAGTTTACAGTCCCACCAACAGTGTAAGTGTTCCTATTTCTCCACATCCTCTCCAGCACCTGTTGTTTCCTGACTTTTTAATGATCACCATTCTAACTGGTGTGAGATGGCATCTCATTGTGATTTTGATTTGCATTTCTCTGATGGCCAGTGATGATGAGCATTTTTTCATGCGTCTGTTGGCTGCATAAATGTCTTCTTTTGAAAAGTGTCTGTTCACATCCTTCGCCCGAAATTGGGCAAATTTTTATGTATTTTACTGAAAAGAACAGAGAGGGGAAGGAACCATTTTGATGGGGAAAGATAAGGAGTTTCATTTTTCACAAGTCCAGTTTGATATGAAGGCTTAGGGAAGAGGTCTGATCTGGAAGCCTATCTCTGTGAGTTGTTCATTCATCCATTTATCAATTTACGTAAGTAAAGCACCTATTAATGAGGCATATATTAAATGCCACAACATGGAACTGGAAATACCTTATAGGGGATAGAAACAAATAACTAAGCAAGTGCAATAAAATGTGATACATGTAATGCTAGGGGAGGATCAGAGTGCTATGAGAATTCATAGGAGAGACACCAAACCTAGACCTGGTGATCTGGGAGGGCTCTGACATCTAGGCTGAGACTTACAAGATGAACTGGATGAGTCTGGTAAAGGAGCCTACAGAGGAAAGTTATTTCAGAAAGAATGAAGAGTCAGTAGGGAAGCTGAGAGCCAAAACAGAATACTGAAAAATTTCTGTACAACTTGTTTTTAGTAGAAAGGAAGGCAAGAGAGGAGGCTGGAAAGAAAAGCAAGGATGAGGTGATGTAGGATCTTATACAATGGGAAGTCACTGGAGAGTTTAAAATAATCATCCTAAACATGGATTTGATTTGAAATCTTGGCAATGGATGATATCACCCAGTGGTTCTCTATCTTTGGTCTGCATTAGAATCACCAAGAAGCTTGTTAAAAAAGGAACCTACTATGTGTAACATTGCATAAAGCCCTTTACATATGTTATCTTTTAAACCTCACCATCTCAGCAAGCGGGTGCTGTTTATTTTCCTAGGGTCACAAAGCTATTAAATACCAAAACTGAAATATGAACCCAAGCAATCTGGCTGTAAAGTCTCTCCCCTTTGTCCTGTACCATGTTGCCTCAAATACAAGCATTATATAAAATAGACCCCTGCATTTCACAGAGAACATATAACGAGGCCTTTGAGAATTCTCAGGTTCACAATGCCACCACAGAAAACAATTTTGTCTCTCCCATACCTGGAGATTTTAACTCAGGAGAGTGGAAATGGGCCTAGGAGTCTGAATTTTAACAAGCATTAAAGATGTTGTTTTGTTGCAGATGGTCCCCTGACCCTGCTTGGAGTAACTTGAGAATAGAGAAGAGGTTGAGGACGAAAACTTAGGGCAGAATAATCCATGAAAATGAGAAGAAATAGCTGAACAAGTAGGAGGTAAACTTTAAGAATATTACTGTGGAATAGGAGATAATTAGAAGAAAGATCAATAATATGATATGCAACAGGCAAGATAAATTAGATCAGAACTAGAAAGTGCCCACAGGGCATGGTTATCAGTTCACTGGTAAGACTGAGAACTTTCCCTCCATAATTCCCACTTAAGAAGACTTACTACTTCTTGTTCTTGGTACTTCATGGAACTATGCTTAGAGATATTTACATTGTCCTCATATTTCTCCCTGTCTCATAGAAATAGTTAAAAAATGGATTTTGGCAAGGTCAATTTGGTCAGGTGTGGTGGCTCACTCCTGTAATCCCACCCACTTTGGGAGGCCGAGATGGGTGGATCACTTGAGGTCAGGAATTTGAGACCAGCCTGGCCAGCATGGTGAAACCCCGTCTCTACTAAAAATACAAAAATTAGCTGGGTGTGGTATGCACACCTGTAGTGCCAGCTACTCGGGAGGCTGAGGCAGGAGAATTGCTTGAACCTGGGAGGCAGAAGTTGCAATGAGCCGAGATCAGACCACTGCACTCCAGCCTGAGTGACAGAGTGAGACTCCCTCTCAAAAAAAAAAAGGTCATTTCTCCATAGCTTATCTTTGTAGGCATTGAATTTAAAACACAGTATGGCTATGAATGGCAGACTCACTTAAATTTCTTACAAATGCTTGACATACTCTAGGATTTGACCCTTTAAATATGGAAAGATTAATTTGTTTCAACAAAATGCTGCTCATTGATAAAGTCAATAAAATACTTTGTACTGAGGATGCTGCCACCCATGATGATTAAACTTGAAAAGAAGAATTGAACTACAACTTACGAAAACCTCTGTGCCTATTTTTAAATGCAAGCAAACAAAATTCTCAAAATTCTAGTTTAAACTGCAGGTAGATAATTCTTTGTTTTGGATTATTTAAATGCTATCAAAATAAAAATAAACAGGTTCCGCTTTGAAGTTATGATGGCTATACAGGCACCAACAGTAACTGATATCTCTTCTTTTCAACATGCTGAAATGTATGTGTCTGATTCCTGATGGCTTTTACTGAGGTTGAGTCTCACAGCGCAGAAGCTTAATAAAAACTAGTGTTAAAATCTCCACATAGCTGACTGTCAATTATAGATGTTTATACTGTAATCTCTAACAGCTCCAGTTTCTTCCAGTAATATAAAGCATTTCTTCTAAACTGAATTCTAAACCTAATTAACTCTTCTTCAGACATTGTCTTATTCTTATATTAACTAATGTATTTATCCTAAATTAGAGGTCCAGTTTGACTGTCCAGGAGATCACTTAGAAATTTTATGATAATAAAAATAAATAACAATTATTGACCACCTACTATGTTTGGATTTGTGTTAAGATCTTCTTTAAGCCTCACGATTTTGGAAAGTGAGTGATATTTATATTCCCAGGGTCATATAGCTGGTAAGTGCCAAGTCTGAGACTTGAACTGAATCCGGCTATAAAGTCCCTGCCCTCACTGCTGCACTGTGCCGTGTCCATAAAGAAGTATTGTATAAGGTAGGCCCTTAAATTTCACTAGAGCTGGAGAAGGGGCTGTGGGAATTCTAAGATTCCCAATGCCACCACAGAAAACTATTTACCCTCCGAACAGCAAGTCGTTTCCTAAGCTAATTCAATACCTTGCTGACTCTCCTACAGACCAACCTCATCCTCTACTAAATTCAAATCTATACCTGACAACATCATAGACTGCACATTGTAAGCCATTATGTTCATCATCTGTCATCTGCTTAATTCATTCAACAAATGTTGAGCATCTCATCAGTAAGACAAGATCCTTGTCTTTATGGAGTCTTTAATCTAGTGAGGGAAAACCATGAATGATAAATCTAGAACTATCAAGAGTCTAGTAGGTTTCTTTGTGGTTTTCATATACATGTAAATGTGGTTGAGATTATAGAGGTCACTCAAAGAAATAAGACATCTTTTAGGATGTGAGAAGAGGTTAATGCAGGAGGTTTCTAGACTAAGAGACTTCTTGCAAAGGCCCAAGAGCAACCATCCTAAACACGTGGAAGGACCAGGGGAAAGTATTACTTGAAAGAAATGAAGAAGTCATGTCAAGGAAATATTGTACTATGAATTTTGAGATACTAAGAAAATAACATTTGGACCGCAGCTTTCTTTGATTTACATATTTCTGCCAGATAAGAGTTAGAGTACCCTGACAATCATTGCACATGTGTAATAACTTGAGGTAGGATTTCAAACCTCTCGAGGAAAAGGGTGAATAATAGCAGTTCTGGAATGCTGCTTCCATCTCACCTGCCTATCCTTGCCTTCTAATACCGTTCTAGCTTTCTGAACTCTTGTAAAGAGTGTAAGTGTTCATAACTTTTTGTATCAAACTTTGTAGTTAAAGAAGGAGGGAAACATATGCTTTTATGATTATTGCTATTAGAAACCAAGCAAAAAATAGTAATTTTTAGTCCATTGCTTTTATTAATCATGGTATAGAGCTTAATGTTTGCTTTTTAACTTTAAATAACTCTGCGTTCTAGATTAGGGGTAGAGGTTTTCAACTGATTTTTAAGAGAATTTTTATGAGAAACAACCTCCAGTTAATAATTCACCAGAGGATTAAAACATAGATGAGGGGCTGATGGGTGCAGCAAACCACCATGTCACATGTATATCTATGTAACAAACCTGCACGTTTTGCACACGTATCCCAGAATTTAAAGTATAGTAATAAAAAATCACCAGAAAATCTAAATGAAAGGCTCATTAATTATTTTTATTATAGTAGCTGCTGAAAATACAAATGGATTAACTATTGTATTAACAATCACTACCATCCAACCTACTAGAAATCTCAAGAAAAGTGTTACCATAATACTCCTTTTTTTCTTTAATTTGAAGAAGTATCTCTAGGTTATTTCCAAGGCAATCTACTTGAGTTATTTAACACTTAGACTTTGTTCAAATTTATAAATGGATTTTTTATAAAGGAAAATTCAATTAAGGGACACAATAAAGAATTAAATGAAAAATAAACATTTTGAAGTTCAGAAAGAGTGATTTTCCTCAGGAATACCTGCAAAAATTCCAATTGCCTATATTTACACTAGAAATATTCACCTATGCCCTCATTCACTCAAGCTGTGGAAAAACAATTAGTTCGTCTGTATAATACAATTTGGAAATCATTTCAGGGAAATAATACTGTATTCTTTATTAGAAGAATAAAAATAAACTTTTCTATCAGGTTCATATCTTAACAGTTTAGAAAGCGTCGTGACTCTGGAATTGATTCTGGACTTGAATTTGCTTTCCATTACTAGATACATGTTCTTGGATGTATCTCTTAACTTGGCAGTGCTTTTGCTTTAAAATAGGGGTAAGCATAATAATTATCTTACAAGTTAGTTGAGAAGTTCAGATGGGATAATGTATACAGCATAGATAATGTCTATAAACCAGCAAATTCTATAAAAATTTTATATACAAACACTTATTCATAAAATTTTTTTTTAGTTGGTTCTTATAAGTAGGAAATTTCCACAAATTCTACATGGATTTCTACAAAAGCGGGTGACTCAAAAACTATAGAAGAAATATCTTATATTTTAAGATAATAAACTGCTTTAGGAGTTTCTACAACTGGATATTATAGAAAGGAGGAATATATTTAAATGAAAATTTCCCTGAAGGGCAGTTGGAATAGAGCAGAGTCCATCCAGGAATTATGCTGGCTAGAGAAATAGTTCTTCAATGGGATGTATGTGCTAGATGTGTTCTGTTTATTTTTGCCTTTAATGACCATTTAATATTTCACAGAATATTGATTTTATAGTGTTAGGTATATTTAAGTTAACAGGAATAGTAAACCTACCCCCACTAACCAGTTATTTATTTTATGACCTGCCAAGAGCTCTGAAGTTAAAAGATGCTATCTTGTTTTACTTAATCTGCTGGCATTTATGGAGTCCCAGTCTCATGTGGAGCACTAGGTGCAGTCACTGGGGATGGACAGAGGCAAATTCAATAGAAGGTATCATTGTTACTCTTAAGGAGCTTATGATCCAGTTGAAGGAATGCACATCAAGAATTGAAACGATGGAAAACCCATTTATGAACCACGATGCCAGTAAGAGTAAATTGATATAGAAATTGCTGGCCTGGAAGAGAGATAATGGGCCCAAACATTTTAAATTCAGATTTTCTGCTTTGGGATGGTGTGTTGCACTCAGGATGTGTCTGTATATCAAAAGTGTGATTTGAAACTTTCTCATCTTACAAGCCCTCTTCTATTCCCTCTTGTTACCTTTTCCCTCTAAATTAGACACATTGTACATGTGTAGGGTGACTTACAGTTTCGCTTATGTATGTTCACACTTACTTCAAGAAATTGCATTTACTCTCTTTTACAGAATAAAGAGGAAAATACACTCAGTCAAACTCTACCAAAGAGACAGTTGACTGGGTCTAGACTAATTATTATAGCAGTTGTATTAGGCAACAACCAGTCTTTTGTTACATAACATGAAAAGTCCCATCTCATTCTGTTAAGTAACTAAATCGTATGATTGGTTCTAACTCTACTTTTAAAGTTATAGTTTTCTATCCAGAGAGCTCCACAAATGACAGAGCTTAATTAGCTCCAGTAAGCTACTCCTTGTGAAACTCACTGCGTCAGTCAGAATAGGATAGGTCAATTCCCAAACTTTTGGTTTTTGGTTTCTTTACTTTAAAAATTATGGAGGACTCCTAAAGAGTTTTTGTTGATATTGGTTACATGCATTGATTTTTTTCTTGTATTTGAAATTAAAATTAAGAACATTTAAAAATATCCATTAATTGAAAATGACTATAATAAATCAATTATATGTTAACATAACTTTTTTATATAAAATACGAAATTTTACAAAAAAAAATAAAAATTTAGTGAGGAAAATGGCACCATTATACAGTTTTGCCAATCCTTAACCTGCTTGTCTTAGTTAGTTCAGGCTGCTCTTCCAAACTGCTATGACTGGGTGACTTAAACAACATTTATTTATCACAGTTCTGGAAGCTGGAAGTCCAAAATCAGGCTGCCACCATGGTTGGTTTCTTGGTGAGGGCCCTCTCCCTGGTTTACAGATGACTGCTTTCTGGCTATGTCTTCACTTGGAGGAGAGAGAGTGGATTCTGGTCTCTTCATTTTCTTATATGGGCACTAACCCCATCACAGGGGCTCCACCATTATGATCTCATCTAAACCTAATTACCTCCTAAAAGCCCCATTTCCAAATACCATCACACTGGGGATTAGGGCTTCAGCATACGGATTTGGGAGGACAAAAACATTCAGTGAAAATTACCGCTGGATTCTTATATCAACTTCTGCATTCAATCTGTTGCAATATCACACACCATGTAGCCTTTGGAAAACTCTACACTGCATTTGTGAGAGAACGAGAGCAAAAGGGGAAATAACATCTTCATATTATTACAAAAATAATTTTGACCTCATAGACCTCTTGAAAAAGCTTCAGTAACCCCAGGGTTCTCCAAAACACATTCTGAAAATCACTGGGCTAAGTTATAATATGATAATATTTAATTTTCAAATCCTGGTGACTTTAGCAGTAAAGTTTTTTTTTTTTTTCTCCTTCCTCTTTTTCATTCAGTATCCATTATGTATCTGTTGGATATTTTGTTCCATGTCATTACAGCCCTCACTCTGGGACATAATTTGGTGGAGCAGAAACTCTCTAGAACATTGATGGTGACTGTGGCAAAAATAAAAGAAAGAATGGAAGAATATGGACTGATTCTTTTTTTTTTTTTTTGAGATGGAGTCTCTCTCTGTTGCCCAGGCTGCAGTGCAGTGACATGATCTTGGCTCACTGCAACCTCCACCTCCTGGGTTCAAGTGATTCTTCTGCCTCAGCCTCCAGAATAGCTGGGACTACAGGCTCATGTCACCACGACCGGCTAATTTTTGTATTTTTAGTAGAGATGGGGTTTCGCCATCTTGGCCAGGCTGGTCTCAAACTCCTGACCTCGTGAACCACCCGCCTCGGCCTCCCAATATGCTGGGATTAGAGGTGTGAGCCACCGTGCCCAGCCTGGACTGATTCTTGAAGCTTTCTCTTGCAAGACAACTATTACGTATTTCGTTAGCCAAAGCAATTCACGTATCTAGCCTGACTTCATGAAGGCAGGAGGTATAACCCTTCTGTAGTGAGAGACACAGGATATTAGTCAACATTAATACAGTCTATCATGCTCATTAATATTTTTAAAGCACATCTGTGTGTCAAGTCATTAGATGCCTTATAGACTTTGATCCCAGTCAGAGTTTAGCGAGGTTGTCTTTATCTGTGCCTCCAACTTGCTCCTTTTTTAGGTTTCAAGAATTTAACAAATGCCTGATATATACTGAATATTTAGTGAACATTCATCATATAAAGGGACAAAAATGGAACAATTAATACAATATTTAAATTTGGGCAGGTGCCTAAAATTCTCAGGATGTGATGTCCAAATACTGACTAGGTTCATTTTGGATCTTGGAAGGGTCTCGTTGATAATCTACATCAACTCCATTATATAACAGATGATTCAGTTGAAGTGTGAAGACATTAAATAACACCATTCTAACGCTAGGTATGAAAATAGGGTTAATTGTGTCCAGTTTGTATTTTGGAAATGGTGTTGAGTTTGGGATGTCTTTTAGGTAAGTCTAGATAAATGCTCAAATGATGCCATCTTACAGATTTCTGCGTTGGAGATACATATTGCTTAATATCTAAAATTTCTAGGACTCTACGGAAAATTTAAGATAGTTACAAAGTAACTACAGATATAAAACTTTAATTTACTTTATTTCCCTTGTGGTTCCATTGGGGTAGGAGTTCTTTGCCTAATTTCTAGCTCTCCTGCAAGCTTGAAGTCATTTTGAATGCTACTGTGTTGACTATTTCTCCTGCAGAAGCCATTTTCTAAAACCAGTTATACTCATAAAAGCATCTTGCAGCTGATATAAGATTATATAATGTAAATTGCCAAGATGTGGGTGACTGCTCCCATCTCTAAAAAATCTAATTACGCATTTGGATTTTATTTTTATTAACTCTAGAATCAAAAGTTCCAAACTTAAGAAAAAGAGATTGGCTGAGTACAGGCAAATCTACAACACTGCATTCCCTACCATGTAGTAAAAAGTTAATGAAAAAAAAACGAAAACTTTCATCCTTAAGATACTTTTATTCTAGGAGCAATATTTTATTCTAATTAAACTTCACAGTAACCCAACAGGGGTAAGTAATGGGCGAATATTCCCTTTTTATAGGTTAAAAAATCAAGGCACAAGCAGGTTAAAGGAGACGCCAGCCAAAATTCACACAATGAGTCACTAACGGAACCAAGAAGACATGATGCTTTTTTCTTCCAAGATGGTGCCCTAGACATGTAGCCACTGTCACCATGATTATACATTTTGATAAATGACAAAAATTAGAAAAGCATCTTGGTCTAAATATCTGAAATGAAACCTACATTGTATATGTGGCAATTATCTTGGTGGAAACAAGAAATTGCTTGTATTTTCAAAAGCATCCTCCACAATATTTTATTTTTCCCATTTTCTTTGTATTCAAAAATATCTATTGTCCAATGTCAAATAAATGCAAATATTAACTGTGATACAAAGTAGCATTTGTGCCACTAGCCACTGGTACCATTAAAAACCTTCATGTGTGAATGGGTGTTTAATTAGGCTGTATTAGATTAATCCCATGTCTCCATTGGTTGTAACAAATGAAAAGATAGTGTGCACTGTCATGGGGATAGACATTTAAAGCTCAATGTAACTTTCATATTTTTCTATGTGATCGATCAGCTAGGACTTCCTTTTAATTTAATGAAAATTTGGTTTGTAAATCAGATAACCTTTTTAATTGCAAGAAATGCAAAGCAGGAATTTTTTTTTTTTTTTTTTTTTAAGGATTGACATTACCTTTGTTGTTTGATACATTAAAACAAGACCCATAAGGGACAGCTCTAAACAATGAACTTCATATAAAATAGATAAAAGCTTGCTCCTTGGGCCTACATAGAAATTCAGACAGAGGTTTGGAAAGAAAAGCCTAATACTTCTAATATGATAATACTGCCTAGGTAGCAGTAGAATATTTGTTATAAAAGGTCTTAAATGTCATTTCCTAATGACATTTTGAGGTAATTTTAACCACTCTTAAAATAATTGCATGTAGATTATAGTTATTGTATAAGAAAAGACTTGCCTCCAATTTAAACAATATTGGGAAGTCAAATATAAATTTAAGTAGTGAAACTTAATTTTTAAAACAGAAAAATATTCCAGCCGACACGTAAGTTTTGCTTTGTCACTGTACTGTATTCTGTTCAGTAGAACAAAGACCGGATGCATAATGAGCCAATGTAAATGAGGTCAAATCAGCAAAAGCATAGTGGGGGAGGGGAAGGTGTAAAATATGACAGTCAATATAATGACCAGGGAGTAGAGAATTTAAATGTTTAATGCCTACACATTCAGATTCATTTTTCTGTCATCGCTTTGAATGGGTAGACTGAGGAGCTTCAAAGTCCAGAATGAAAACATCATCCTGTGGACCAAAAGAATTATTAATATTATTTAATGGCACGGATATGATCTGCACTTACAATCATCTTCTTTCCATCACTCCCCACTGCCCCCCTCCACCCGGGGTGGGTCGGGGGAAAGAAAGGTGGTCATAATAAGAGATAATTAGAAAATGCTCTAAGTATTTATTTGGGGCTTTCTGTCTTACCCTCCTGCACTGCATGCCAGCTTCCCATCTCCCAGCCATGATGGAAGCTCAGAACACAATAGAAACACAGCAACGATATGAATTGCAAATACATGTGTATCTTTCCACACAACCTATCTTACTTACTCTTAATAAAATGAGTATCTTCTAAAAAATTTCTGGAGCTGTAAATTGCTTTACTATTGATGACGGGCTTTGGAAAAATACCACACATGCCTTACGATCAACTAGACAGAGTTGTGTTAAACAGAATTGCTTAGCTCTTGTCTGTAAATTACTCCCCTCCCTCTCCAATAAAGGAATGAATCTTGCTTAATAATCTGTACTGCTTAGCATGTGTTGCAACTATACATGTGCAAATCTGGGTATTTTATATATCCCACACTTTAGGACTATAACAAGCCTTTATCGTAATGTTCTCATATTTAACATTTTCCTACATAGAACGTGAATTTTCAAGAATACTGGCATAAAGATCATTTAATGTATTGTCCCCTGCCATCGTATTTTCTCTCATATGCAGGTCCAAAATATTGCTGTCTTGAAAGATATTCATAAAATTCATTTCAGTGTCTAGCCGACTTAACACATAGTAATTAAACTGGAGCTATAAACAGCAAATGTACATAGACTTCTCTGATTTCAATGTTACATTAAACTAGTGAATATTAATCCCTAAAAATAAGTGCATTGATAATATGAAGGTAGAATTCTATGCGGGGAAGGGGAGTGGGTAGATGGGAAATGGTTAGAGAATTATTGTAAAGTAAGTTAAATTTCTGATTTTGCTGTTAATTAAATTATTCAAAAGACTGTTTTTACAGCTTGAAAAAAAGGAAAAAGAGACTTATTTGGCACTGGCAATGGCTACTAAAAGGCTGCTGTTAAACTAGCACCAAGAATGGGAGGGGTATGTATGTTGAGGGCTGGGGGAACACAGGAACTTGAATACTTGCTTTGTAAATATTTAAGTTTTTTGCAGGCTAGCATCTAAAGAAGAAATAAAATATTTGCCTTTTACCTTTGAACCCTTTCGTGAAATATCCTAATGTTGCCAAATGTGAATATAGTGAACTTAATCAGCAAATTTGACTTAGATTTATGAACTTTTTCATTCTAAATGCATTTACATATACACAAGCACATATATGTTCATAAATTTATTTTATTACATCCATTTTGCACAAACGGAACCTTAAGCAGTTGAAGTACTAAAAAAGCCAATCAAAATACTCTTCATATATCCTTAAGTCCATAAACCTCTTTAAATTGTCTCTTTTAAAAAACAGCTAAATTATGGAAATGCAGTCTGCATTACAGAATATTTGCCAGTTATATCTTGATTCTTATTTGAAACTCCCACAAGAATATAGGCATGACAGTAATATAAACCATAGAAACAGGCAAAAAAAAAGTAGAACACAGGGACTTGTAAATAAATCCATGAATATCAAGAAGCACAGATGCTGAGATTATGCATTTTTACCAGTACAGTTCTGTGCTTGTAAACTATAAGACCAGACATTTGTAAGATGCCGTGTAGCAGGCCCTGCTGAGGGCGGGAGAGGTAGGAGAGACTCTGAGAAAGGTGGGGCGGAGGGAAGAAGGGAGGGAAAATGAGTGAGAGGCAGAGAGAGAGAGATTGAGAATAAGGAGGGGGACACATAGCCAGACACAATAACGCATAATAATGTTAACATTCCTGCATGTCTAATGGCTTAAATATGCTGAGTGCCTCACTCCAGCCCCACACCACAGATGATGTCAAAGAACCATTTAATATTTTATCAACAGTCCTTCTTTGAACCAAAAAAATTTTTTTTCTTTTAAAAGAGATTCAGGGGTTTCCTAGCATGAAAAAAATTAAATGCCTTGAAAGGCAAAATTTTAAGACAAAACAATATTTGTGAATACCTCATGTTCAGCAAGATTCACACCATTCTCCAATGCATCTTACATTATTTACATCTTAGCAATGTCAACATGTCTTATTTACCAAGGAAACATAAAATCATATTTTAGCTTCTTTTCTTTAAACATTAGTAATGTATGGCTATTTTTAAAATGTAAAAAAACCTATTGATTGAATTATTATTATAATATCAGTTGGACTTTTAGGGGTTTTTTTTGGTGGAAAATATTGTTTTCTTGTTTGACGGATACTATGCCTGTAACAAAGAATGACTGAATTGTCTTAACAAAGAAGATGAAGGCTGTATGTGTTAGTTACAATAGAATAACCACCTTCCAGATCTCTTAAATCCACAATATATGTAGTGTGGGTCCTGAGTGGCTTTTGTTTTCAATGTCTTTTGTAAGCTTTTAGGTTTTTTTCTGCATCAAATGTCAAGTTAATTTACAGGGCGCTATTACTGATATGTTTCCTTGGTTTGTGGTTTTCTGTGAAAGGCAGGCAGCTGAGACCAAGTCTTAGGCTGCGGGGGAGGGGCAGCCAGCGAGCCCATAACACATACACAGTGCCAGGGTCTGTAAATTGGCTGCCTGTATGACAGCGGGCCCAGGGAAACCTCTAGTCTTCATTTGCATGCTGAAGAATATCCAGGATTAAACCGGACTGATTTTCATACAGGATTTAGACCTGACATTTATTATTCGGTTCACAGACCTCTTGAAGGAAAGTTTGTTTTCCACTCATAGATGAAAAATCTTCTAAGATAAATAAAGTCTGGCTTAGCAGTAACAGTAAATAAATATCTTTCCTGTATTTCTTATGAATTTATCATATATGATTGCCAGACAGATGTTTGCCACCAAATTATTATATTTTGCTCTTTAACAATTTTGAAGAAAAATATCTATCAAGCCCCCATGCTTGCAGTGTTTATAAAATGTATTCATTTAATTCTGGAAGTTGATTTTTCATAAATAAAATTCAGAGACAGACACTTGATTTTTAGAACAAATTAAAACAATATTGGAGCGGTAAAATACTCCAAAATGCTTAATTTTGCATCTGCTTTATGTGTTTTTATGAGCACAGAGAAGATTTTGGTTGTACTGTAAGCATCCATTACGTACTTTTATATAAAACATGAAAATTATAAATGAATGCTACATATGAGCCCTATCTACTAAATTTATAACATAGATAGTTCATTTCCATTGCCAAATAGGTCCATAAAGTATTCTGGTGTCTTTCAACATTTAGGTATTAATTGTTTGTCCAGACAAACACTTATAATCCAATACTTTGGCAATATTTTAACTAAACCAAGATTTAATTTCTAAAGTTCAAACAAAACATATTTTGACATGCTACCAATATGAAGAAGCATGATAGAGCTGCTTTACATTTTCTAAAATGCATTTTTGATGTGGACCAGAATAAAGACTTCAAATAGTGATTAAGCAGGCCCAGAAGAAATTTAGGATTCCTCATGTATTAATAAACAGTATAGATTTTAAAAGTCATGGAAAATATACTTTATATATTTAATAAACGTAAGGTAAAAATAATACAAATGTCAGTAATTAAACATATTATTGTTCCTGTCAGTGCAGATGGAGGAAACACTATAAAATCTGCTATGTATTTGAATTTTTAATGTGTCAATGGAACTTTTGAAAATGTGTTCTGGTATTGATTTCTTTATGAATATTAACTTATTCATAACAAATCTTAAATATGTAAAATATAAGATATATTTCTTGGAAATTTGTCTTTGTTTTAATGTTGCATTTTATTATAAATATACATATGAATCACATTTACTTCCTCAAATGAATTTATGATATACCCAGTAAGAAGTATATATTATTGAAGTTTTAGATAGAATATATCAATGAATTTTTTAATGGTGAGATATCAGTATTGTATATACCAATCAGTTTATTAACCAAGCATTTAATAAATGAACATAATGAGTCTGTCTAGTTTTGCCTTGATTCAATTACCATATAAGAACATGCACACAAATGATCTGACTGTACCAAAAATTAGGGACAACCAAACAGTAGAAATTATTGTGAAAAGATTTTGGTCATCTTGTGTATAGAAGTATTTCTGCCTTATATGTATGTAAATTGCAAATGTTAACATAAATATTATTGTAAAATGTGTCTACACATGCAAAGTGAAGAGAATCAAGGCAATTATTTGAACAATTCAGGATAAACCCCTCACTTTTGCTTGCAATAGATAATTGAGGCAAAAGTGTTTTTCCCTTGAATTATCTGGATGATTGCATCAATTCTTCACTTCTCTTTATACATGTATATAGACATGGCAATCGTGTGTCTTCAGAAAGTGTCACTTTAAGAAACATGCAAATGCAGAACACATTCATTGAGACATCGCTAACTTATAGGCTTAATATACCACTGAACTTGTTTATTAATCAAATTGGGACCTTAAAAGAGAGGAAGTGTTAAATATATTTTTCTAAGCAATTATTTCTAAAGCAACATACAGTGATATTTAGATGTAACATACAATTATACATGCATCATGCAAACTAGGTTTCTCCAACCTACTCTGGCATACTAATGCCCCAGTATTCCTCATTATTATTTCTATCAGCAGTATACTTCCACAGTAGGCCCTGCTAATTGTATGAAGAGTATTCACGATGGTGTGTTGCCAATATAGTACTGAGGAACATTTAATTGCGAAGGTTTGACCCTCAGCCCGAAATCCTGAAAGTATATGCTAGAGAAAAAGGAATTCTGAATTCAGTTGGTTGGAATGAGGAAGATCATTTTCAATCAAGCCAGTTTTTAATGACTTTATTGTTAACACCCTTAAAAATATGGCTGATACAATGACTTGCATGCACACAGTTATTTCGTCTTTTTAGTGACTGCATGAGAAATAGGTATTAATTGCTCTGCCATTTAAAATTCTCGATACAATTCACATTTACTCACTTTAAACTCAAGATGTCTCTCAATCAAATTATGGGGCTCTTTATATCTTCAATGTAATTAGGATTGTACAGTATTCATGACAAACATACTGAACAAGGAAGAGGATTCCTACTTGGTAATCATTGTAAATATGAAATTGTCAAGCTAGTCCTAATTAGTCACTGAGATAAAGATTAT
The DNA here is from genome assembly GCF_000001405.40 of Homo sapiens. Taxonomy (NCBI): domain Eukaryota; kingdom Metazoa; phylum Chordata; class Mammalia; order Primates; family Hominidae; genus Homo; species Homo sapiens. The sequence goes on along the minus strand of NC_000005.10, from coordinate 88,553,172 downwards.
ATGCAAGTCTCTAAGAGGTGCTACAGACTAAGAACAAAATTCAAAAATACCACAATTAGATTATTGTTTCAAATGCTTATGCTTAATAAAGTTGGTGGACCATGTTTGCCAAATAATTTTGTCAGGCAAGCGGTCATAGTTTAAAAGTAATTAAGCAATTCAGCCTCATCGTAAAATGGCACCTGCAAATGTCCATGCTTTTGTTGGTTTGGAAATGTGTAAGATGCTCAATAAAAAGTACTGCCTAAGAAAAAATTCAGTATATGATACTTTTTAAGCTTCAACAGGTAGAGAATCATTTTTAAACTTGCCTTTAAAAAACATTGTAGTGAAGCATTTGATTGTTTAACATTTTTATTATTCAAGTTCTTACCATTTCACACTACTCCCTGGAGAGGGGCCAAGAAAATATTAAAAATACTATAGAAATATAAAGGATAAGATATTTGTCACACTCATTTAAATTGATGTATGCTGCTGTCCTATAAACGTCACATCGGATAACCCTGAAAAATTACCATGAATCTCCATAATTACGCATATTCATGATGGTGTTTTGCATAGTGCTAACAGCAGACTGCATGTGAGGTGGGACGTGAAGGGGGGTGGAAGTGATGTGACAGATTAAAATTATTACCAATATCATTGAAATAGACATAGCAACAGTTCCATTTTGTTAGGTCTTAGAAAACAAAAGCATATCATAAAATCTCATAGTAATTAAATAACTAGAAATTTTTCTCCTACATATTTTACTATAAAAAGTTAACAGCAAAAAACTGACTAGAAATATCATTGTTACTTGAAATGTGCTTGCATTTATCATAGACTCCTAGGTACAGGGACACAGCAACTGAAAGGAGACAGAGCTTTTTAACTTTTTTGAGAGACAGGGGAGAAGGGAGGGTGATGGGGAATTTTTAAGCCTTCCAAAGTACACCTGTGCGACTTATATGGTTAGCAAGCTCCGATGAGCTGAGTGCAAATCACGTAGGTACATTTCTTCTAATAAGTATGAGGACTGAGTCATATTCAGTAAACTGTTAAAAGGCTCTAAGAGATAGAAAAGTTGTCTGGTGTCTATCTCAATAGCTTTTTTGTGCTGAGGCAGAGAGCAGAGTTAATCAGGGACTCTAGAAGTAATTATCGGCAGAGTTTGGGTAATACAAATGCTTGGGTAAACAGCGATTGTTCTTTCCACAAGATTGTGAGTAGAAACAACAATACTGGTATTGTCCTCCACTTCTCATTAAGGGGACTTGGGGAGGGAGCGCTGCACTGCGAGGCGCATGGGAAACTGACAGGCAAACTGTGCTGGGAACGACTCTCTCCTGATCCCACTACCACAAGCTCTGGCTTTTGGCATCAGGAGTGCCAGCTGCATCGGGAGAAGCCAAGCCTGTCATACCATCTTCACATCAAATCTTCAGGGTACAAGAGCTAGAGCATAGTTAGAGCTTAATGAAGAAACAAATACAAAAGGGAAGATTAGGCCTCGTGAACACTTGCATTCATTTGTTCTTATAGAAACTGCACTGGAAGGGTTGTTTTACAGAACTCATTCTTTTTCCTCTTAAGCAGAAAAGTTACATTGAGGATGCATTTTTTATATTGTAAATACACAGGGAAAAAAAAAATCTTTCAGTTCTCCTGCAACTATTAGCCAGCAAATTGTTTTGTCAAAAATGCCATTTGAAACAGTGATGTCCATGACAACAGTCAAAATTGGTAAATAAATACTTTTCTCTTTTTTATATTAATAATATTGTACTCGTCGCCACATAAAGCATTTCCTTGCATACTTAAGTGGTACTATTGCTTTCTTTCGAAAAATTGGGATGTGAAACTTTATCTATTGTTATGGGATAACAATCTCTTCTTTGGGGTGAAACATTTATGTTTCATGGCACCACATTACTTTTATCTTCAAATTAATTGCATTTGCAGAAAAGGAACCATATTTTTGAAGTTCGCTATAAACTACCCAGAAAGTTTGACAGCAGAATGCTACCATTATTTTTTATTGTTGTAAGCAATCAGTCAACTGTACAAAGGTGTATTGTGTACAGCTGCAATGTAAAACCTATTTTTGTTTATGCTATCTGTCAACCACTTAATATGCTAAGGTGCATTCTAAATGATATTATTCCAAAGGAAACAAGAACACTTTAATGGGATAATGTACTTTCTATTCTATACTTTGTGTGTGTAAGGCCTACCCAAGAAAGGTTCATAATGTATCTGTGGCTCTTAAACTTTAGCTCTATGTTGAAAGAAGACAGGCTAATTATGGTAGGCTATGAAGAGAGGAATGTACAACACCTGTACTGGGATTGAAATATATGATTTTTACAAATTCTCACTCAGTTTAGAGGTAAGCTCAGTGAGGAGATCCTTGCCTATGCTGGAATACATAGGAATATGGACAGCTAGGTTTTATTTCAGATAGAAACTTTCCAGAAATTTCTTCCTGTAGACATATGAAAAGATATATACCCAAGCATAATGTGGCCTAATTACTAAATGTAATACTTTTTTAATGAGAAAGGCACTGAAAATAAACTATACTACAGAAATAGCTGAAAGCCAAGTCGTTTTATATAAACTGCATTAACCCAAGGTAAATTTACACCTATAGTCACATTATGATGATGAAGAAAAACATTATAAACTAGGTTTTGTACTGTATAAGTAAAGCTTATCATTTCATACAAGGCAAGACTCCACATCTCAGATATAACTTCTGTATTATCCCTTAATTTTTAAGGGATATTACTTGAATTTACATTGGCCTAATATGAATGAGTCCTTCTTCTTTTTTTTTTCTTTATATAGCCTAAAGAAAACCAGTGTTTTCAGTATGATAGAAGTGAATCCCTTTTATTCTGTTGGTATCTGAAGATACCACCAAATCAGTGTTATATTCTAGAGTTCCACTGACTTTTTTGCTCTTTGTGGTTACAATGTTTGTGTGACATTATTTGGTCCATGGCATATACATATCCAAACAACAGTGGCCCTGAAATACTTAGAAGTATTTCATATTTCCTAGTCTACATTCTTCTCAGTACTCTGAAATCATGGATGTCACCATTTTGAGTACATGACTACATCTTAAAATATGGGGTCATGTCGTAGGGAGCTGACCTCATCACAAACACTTCTCAGATAATTTGTTACAATGAATTCATTGATTAATTATTTAAATGACACTTGGTATTTATAAGTGACAATTTCCATGCTTTTAGAACAAGAGCAGTTAAATACTGAATATTGCTATATTTATTTGTTAATTTTACTGGCAGTGTCCTCAGTAGTTTATAATTAAACATGACAGGTAGATTTGCATGGTGTCTCCAAATGTGCTTAGCTATACAATAGTATTAATATAACTTTGTGATAACAAGTAAAATGAAACTGCATTTTTCGTTCTGAACAACAGAACTCCTTTTTAGGATTTTATTAGTAATTACTTCAGCATTAATGTGACTACACTATAACATTCGTTTCTAAAACTGTCCAACCAATGTTAGTGAATGTCAATTATGTACTAGCAGGACAAAACATGAAGCTAGAATATTTACAAGAGAATCTTTACCTCTGGAATAACTTGTATCTTGAGTATAACACTGTAAAAATATACATGTTTATCTGGATCATTTTAAAACAACAGTATGATTGAGGAGAGTAAAATAAGTTCATATGAGAAGAAAAATTCCCAAAGCAAAATTTGATGAAAACATTAATTGTATTGGAACACATGTAAATATGACATATATTCTTCTGACAAAATGAATGCAAGTAAATTTTCTGTTTGAAAATATATTGCTGGATTGAATGTGCAGTTTAGGTGAGAGCAGATAGAGCTATGAATATTAATATCACATGCATTTAATTGACGGTACCTATTTTGGGTTATAGAATATTATTTTAAAAAACATTTATGTTTTATAAAGTTTAATGTTAATTTGTTCATATTTATAACTTCAGTGAATAAAAATAAAAATATACTTTTATTTAGATTAGGAAGTATTCACCCTGAATTTAATTAAATTTTCCTTTAAAATTATTTGATATTATGTAAAACATTAGCTACAATACAAAGAATGAACTTTTCTTTAAGTGTTGAAAAATTTTGTTAGGTAATGACAGAAAAATTTAAATGTGACTAAAAAAATTGAAAATCTAATAATATTGACTATTTGGGCACAGGATAAATTGCTTTTGAGTTGTTCTTTATTTTTTTGAGAGAGAAGACATTGTTGATCAGGGCTCTAAGGAGAATGAACTTGTTTCATTTCTCTCACCTACCCCGTGGTCTCTAGTAGTGTAGGACTGGTATATAGAGGGAAAGGGAACATATATAGGAATGGAACCATGGCTGGGCCAAGTAGCAACCCAGTGTCTGCTACAGCATCATAACCTCAAGCTTTGGTAAAATTAGAGGCACAATCCCACCAAGAATCATTCCTGGTCTTCACTATTATGGCAGTGATGAAAAGCATAGTTTTCTTGGAGGGAAAATTGACTGAAGGTGGAGGGTGTCAGAATTCTTTCAGTCTGAGCCCACGCTTATAGGTACTGGATCTGTGTATCTTTGCTTACTCTCTTTTCAGTAGGTGTCTACATACAGGTTAAAAAAATCTTTTCAGGCAATTTCTAGTTTGACTAACATTTTTACTCAGTATCGATACTACTACACATGTGGGATCCCTGAGAGGGCTGGCTATGGAATAAAGAGATCTGAAATAGAATTACAGCTTCTCCTTACATGGAGTTAATCACCTCATCTTATTGCATCTCAGATATTTCTTCCTTACACGGAGACTCTAAAGATTACATAAAATATCATATGACAAATTTGCTAGTACTGTGTCTGAAAAATGAGAGATTCCCCAGATTAGTGACTGTATCTAAATTTCAATGTGTAGATAGAGTCCAGGACAGATTAAGAGCTGAGTGGTTCTCTAAGAACTGTTGTTTTCCCTGAGAGGTGCATGGGGGCAGGCGCACAGAGCCCCTTCATCATCTGTGAAAAGTGACAAGGCCCTCTGTTGGGCTTCTGCTTGGTTCTGTGATCAAGGTTCCACATTTAGCCAAATCACGTGAAACTGGTTTGAGTCTTTCCTGATAGCTGCAACTTAGACAAGATTTGGAAAAACTAGGTGCTTAAAAACAGACAAAAAGAATGAAAGATAACACAGAAATCCATTCGTATTTTTTCTTTTTAACATAGAACCTTGCACGTAATAAACTAAATACATATTTGCTGAATGAATACACAAATAAATGAATACATAAATAAATTTAATATATAAGTCACTGAAATTTGAAAATAAGTAATTCTGAGTTCACCCCCACCCTTTTATTATTATTTTTTTACATAAAAAGTTTAAGGGATTTTAAGAGTGAAGGATACTCTGAAACGATAGATCAATATGAACATACAGGTTCATAAGTGTTGAAGAAGAACTACTTGGCATAGATCTTCATGGAATGTACCTTAAAGTACAAGAACAAACCCATATCAATACATGCTTCTTGCACAACTTTTTCCACCACAAATTCTATCATAGTCAGACATTTATTCATAGAATGATCTCTCATTTCTTAATTAACAAAAGCATTTATTCAGAATATTTTCTTAAAAGACATAGCCAGGTGTTTACTAAGTATACTCTTTAACTATTTCGTGAAGAAGAATGTATTTCCAGACATTACCACCTATGTTAGATTTAATCAAGATTGCTGAAGTAGGCCAACAAAAATGTGTAGCTGAGCTGTAGGCATTGTGTTGACCTGTTAACCTGAATTTCATTTCTGACTACTTTTGTATTTAAACTTAAATTCCATAACCCGTATATGCACAGGAGATTAATTGAGAATTACCATCCTACTTAAGAATAACTGTAACAGAAAAATAGTTGTTCATTCCAACCATCAACTTTTTCAAGATTTGGAGCTTGTCTCCTTGGAAGTTCTTCCATATAGCAGAGTGAAGAGGCCATTTAAAGTATGATACCAACAGGAGTTTGCAGAGATGCCACTTCATAATGAATGGTGGCATCTGTAGAGGTCTTTTATTCTCTGGTATTCATAAAAACTATGCCTCTATATACATTTTAAGTTCCAATATAAATATGAAAAGTTTCTAAATGATATTTTTCTAGTAAATATAATTCACATAAATCTCAGTGATTCAAAATAAAACTGGGTGATGCTAATTTTTTTTCTGGTATAAAACCTGTGGATTAGAAAAATTATAACATTATGGGGTCACCTTAAACTAAAAATAAACATATGAGGAAAATAATTTTTATAGCTGCCAACTGATGCTATCAGCCCTCTTATAAGTGATAATGCTTATGTAAAAAGTATACATTGAATGTTCAAATTTGCAAATGCATCTATAAAGATCAGAAAGAATTATCTTTGACTCTATTAATCAAAGGGTTTTCTATGAAACACAGACATAAAAATTCATGCAAGAAAATATTTTTATTTCACTATTTATTTTCCTCATTGCACTTTGATTTTAAGGCCTCAAAGAACCTCATTATAAGCTAAATTTAATTTTGTCTATTTTTTTCCCTAAGAAAGTTAATAATGTTAGGTCATTATTGGAATATCTGTTTTAGTGTTCACTAGGTTTTTTTTTGGTAGTTTAATAATCTTTTTAACATGATTTTCACATAATAATTATTTTAAATAAAATGTGGAATCATGGTAATATATCTTTATTTCTATAGTACCGCATAGTCTGATAAAATACACTTAGAGTAATTATTATACTAAATAAATAGTAAATTTTATGTCCAGTATTTTCTGGACAATAAGCATTTCTCTGAGTAGCATGTTTATATTTAAGAAACTTTCCTATGTTTTAAAATATGTGACCTTATCTTTTTAGAAATGTATGGAAAAATCTTTGCCAGCATTCAGCTATTTCAATTAAAAAGCACAGATATACGCTTCAAACATTTTTTTCTCCTCTGTATGTTTTAAAGGACTTATAAGAACAAATGTAATCAGATAGTTAACTATTTATTATATAAGAACTTGAGATAACCACTGAGAAACAAGAGGATGGTAGTGTCCAACTTTTATTTACTTCAAAAAATAATATATCACACAATAGTTTTTATTAATGATTAGGACTCACAGATGTGTTAGTTAAATGAAGCGTCTATATCATACCTCATATCAATCCACAATGACATTATAATAACAAATTTGCATTTATAAATTTCATAATTGTGAAATTATTATTTTTCTTTATATTGCTCATTTTTAAGAAAATGTTACATTTTTCTTAGAATGAATTGTAATCAGCTTACAGTGTTATAATTTTAATAACATTTTAACACCAAAACAATTCTTCCTACAATACCTGCATGCCAATATTCAGTATTCCTGCTCTTTTCTGCATGACCATAGTTAGATGTTTCTCATCAACAAAATTCTTTTCTCTTTTTACTATATCTCTCTTTCTCTCTCTGCTTTTCTCTATCTTCCTTTTCTTTTCTGTTTTCTTATTTCCCCCCTCCACCCAATTCCCTTCTTTCCCTGCCCTCAGTTCTTCACTGCAGAGTACATTGAACATATTAAGAACATTCAGTTGTGGTTGGGCTTCTAACCTTGCTCAACTCCAGCATTAGCAAAGGGATTCAGTTTCCTGAATTCATTAATAGTGTTTTGCCACAAAAGGCTTTGCAGTTCTCTCCTGAATATTGAGCCTAGCTTAATAACATTCCATTTATGTTAAAGACACATTTAATCTGTAAATGTGACCTTTAGAAGAATTCTCTTGTTTTTCATTAAAGAAACACTGCATTACAAATATTAATTATTCCTTGATGCCATATTTTAATTAACTAATCATGTGCTATTTGCAGCAATAAAGAGTGTAGTAATGTATGTGCAGTAATGTTATGCAATGCAAGATCGATATCAAAGAATTCAGTGCTGCAGAAAAGACATGTTTTGGGTATCTTCTTTGGATGAGTTTGCTTACATAAAACATTAAGTCTAGAATGATGCCTTGTTTTGCTTTGTGTTTTGTATTTTTAAATGCCAATGCAAGTCTGATTAAAATGCTGAACATATCTTTAGCCCCATCACTAATAAGTGAACGTTCACTGATGCATATTAGCAGGGTCTAGCAATGTGGTGAAATTGTCACTTAAGTGCTTGGAATCTGAACACAGAAAATGACAGGCAATGCCGAAGGTCCGGCTCCAGTGCATGTCTTCACTGTAGCTGGAGTCACTGGAATGGTGAAACCAGTTTAGGTTCAAGGTCACTGCTGACATTCAGCTGTCATGGCTTCATTGTCTGCAGGCCTTCTCTCCATTGACACATTCAAGAGTACTTTATAGCAACCACAAAGAGCCAGTCAATTGATACCATTACACTTCATGCACACACAAACCACAAGCCTGTTCAAGACTGTTGATACAGTCTAACATTTATTCATTAAAGGATCTATTGAAAATGCAACTTGCTCAGCCCCACTCTTAACAACATAGACTTACTTGTTTAGTCCAAACATTTAGCTACGTCTTTTTCAAGTTTTGCACAGCATTCTCTAATTGAGGTAACATTATCTGCATTTTAATGCTACACCATTTATGTCCAATGAAAGATTACCTGAAGAACCCAGCCATTACCATACTAGTTTAAATACGGGCAGTCGTATAGAAAAAATATACACAAAAGATGTAAGCGGGGGGAAAAAGGAGATATTTATTTGTTCTGGGAGTGCCACGGAAATCCAATTGCTCAGAAATGAAATAAGAGTCTGAAGTGAAAGGAGGGAAAACCTAAGCTTGGGTCAGGGAAGAGGCAGTGATTAGCTCCATTGTTAGGAGCTCTTTGAGCTTCGTTGGTTGTAAAGAAAAACCCACTAATGAATCTATTGAAGCTTGCCAGAACTTTGTGTGGAAGACAACTTAAGTTATGATGCTTATCTAAAAAAATGGTAGTAAAGTATGTGGATATATAAAACACAGCACATATGTCTCTTTATTAACAGCTTGCCCATAAAAACAAAAAAAAGTTTAAAGATACTGTGTTGCACAAATGACTGATTTAACATGCATATGTTTAATTCAGTATTTACAGGTCTTGAAAAAAATCACCTAACTGATGATAAGATATAAGAAAGTATGTCCTATGATAGTTTAAATACGGGGAAACAGGCAGAAATAGAATACAGCTAATCTCTTCTTGGTTTTCTACCAGTAGTTGCAAAGAAAGATGGGTTTAAAAGTCAAGTCAGAAGGCTTTTTCATATTTTGCATATTTTAAGTACGCTGAAAGCATTTCATTAAGAAATGTAATCAACTGACATTAAAAGTAACAGACTTTGGATAAAAGGACCAATATGACTGTGTACTGTATGTGGTAAAAAATGTTCATCATGCTTCCATTCTATGTAGCGTTTCCAACATAGAGTTGAGTCTTTTTCTGCAGGCTGATACAATATTTAATTACATTAGCTATGTAATTCTGTAAAATACATTTCACTGTCTAAAATAAGGTTATCATTAATGTAAGAATTCAATTAAGTGGCTGTATACTAGAAAAAATAATTTTGACCAATCACCTGGTCAAGATCATTGCTAGTAGCTGGAAAATATATGCTATATAATAAGTAGAGGTAGAACACATTCTGAATGTTTGCCCTGAGTTGAGTTTTGCCAAATACTTTCAAGTGTAAGATTGGTGAAGCAAAGTTCAATCACCAAATAAGAAGAGGTCAACCCCCACTATCACACTTATCCATGGTTCCATGACTGTTTCACAAGAATAAGCTTATTACTTGGGAAACATGATTCTCTACCTCTGAGGACTTGTCTTTAATAAATAAATGAGTGTTATGTCAGTGAATTCACTCATTTTTTCATGACCAAGTAAGCGTTATTCCTCCAAAGCATACTATTTTGGGGCATCAGGACTAACTGCTAAGCAGAATTCTTTTTTTTTATAATGTCAAAGTTCTCTTTACTTTTGACATACCAGATTTCCAACTAAGCCCCTGGGAGACTTTTTGTGGAGATTATTGTGTAGTTATGAAAATGTCTCTTTAGACTCATGTCTACATAAGGGAAGATACTGTTGCCACAATATGAGCAACCTTTCTTCAGGTCTTCATTAGTTTTCTTCAGTGATCAGGCTAGCATGAGCAAAGGCTAACCACAACAAAATAAAAACTAGTTATGTGGTCATAGTTTTTGTCAGGTCTAAACCATCTGGAATCCATTATAGTAAGGTTTGTTACTAAGAATGTCTCTTTTTCTAAGAGATTTTATGTCAGGAGATTTGACTCAATTTTGACCAACAGAGAAATTTGAGGATGAGAATTGCAAGAGGTATATGAAAATATTGAGAAGGTAAAGGAAATTAATATTTAAAGGATACATTCCAGTTATTGTGTCTGGCACTTTACCTATGTTGTTTTTCCTCTGCAACAACCCTATATATTTTGAAATTATTATTACTCCATTCTACTGATGGGCAAAGAGAAGCTTCTGGATCTTTAAATTTTTACCTGAGGCCATAAAGCAAGTAAATGGTAATGCTGCAAGTTAAACCAAATACCATATTCTCCTAAAGCCTATACTGTCCTGAATACCTGTTTCAGCCAAAGGACTTAAAAGACCTTGGTAAAATTTAGCTAACATTGTTGATGCCATTTATGATGAATAGTACCTTCTCTCTCTTTCACCTTTATATTGCCTCACTTCAAATTCACTCCCTGGAATGAGCTTCCATTTTGCCTTTCTTTCTCTTCCTCTTTCCTTTGCTCCTAGAGAACATTGAAGATCTATCATCTTCCATATCAAACTTCTCCCATATCAGACATTTTCACATCAGTTTAATAAAAGTAGCTCCACTAATGAGTAACAGTGATCTACCAATTCACAATTGTTTCTTCTGTATTTTTTTTCCTCAGGGAGTATGAATATAAATCTGTCAGTCCAAAATTCAGGGTCTCTCTAAATGTTCTGTAAAATCCTTATGATATGTTATATAATCTGTCAAGCTTTCTTCCAAAACTCTTTTATATCTTTTCATTAATTTAACAATTTTTTTTCTAGGAAATTGCTTTGGAGATGAGGAAACAAACTCTTATGGTAAGTTACCCTGTATTTCTACTGGAGATTCCAGATGAAGAGATATATGCTAAGTTTTATAGCCTGTACCATACAGGCCTTCTGCACATGTGCTGTGTGTGTGTGTGTGTGTGTGTGTGTGTGTGTGTCCATGTGTGTATAAACTTCCAGGTGTACCCTCCAGACTAACAGCTCACCATCCTCTGTTTGCATGACTTTTGCATGGAGAAATTTTTGGTATGCTTCTGATATATTTCTTCAAGAAAAATAAAAGACTGTTTAAGTGCATATTATCAGTTAAATAGCTTGGTCAATTTTTGGAGTATTCACTCATTTGAATGGCAAAGAAATTATCCCCTCTGAAAAGTAGAAAGGATATAGTGCTTTTGTCACAGACACATTTACAGTCTCTCATAATGCAATTTTTCTTTGTCCAGCTGTATTTTCAGGAACCATTTAAAATGAGGACTTTAAAAAATGCCTTACTAAAAATGTCACCAAATAATATTCATATAATAACAGAAGGAGAGAGATGACCAAGGCAAACAAATGACTTCCCTTCTGAAACTTTGCTGAAACTAGATATAGATTTCTCCTTTTAATGATGTAATTTGGATAAAAATATTTTGCAAGTATATTAAATTTTATAAGATAAAATTATTGCAGGGAAATTCTCTCCATGTTATAATTTTTATTTTTTTTACTATTCTGTACTATTACACAGTTAAAGCAAATATTATGTGGCAGGGTTGGTTAAAAAGATATTTAATACAAATAGCTAACAGAAAGATAATAAACTCTTTTAGGAAAGTGAAATATGCTTTTAAGATATGCTTTCAGTTAATTTATAATCTAGAAGGGGGCTTATTTGACGATTGTACCCTATAATTAGTGAGATCAGTAATCAAGACAACTGTGATTTATTTTACCAGGAGACCTAAGAGACTGAAGACATCTGGCGTGGACTACTCTGATGGTAAAATTGAAAGTACACCTAAATTTGCTTTGTTACAGGATTCTCTTCAGAGGACAAGAGAAGATGTTACATTCTCTGCATGAGGACAATTCTGCAGCATCAAAATCGAATAATATTTGTTTTCTGGCAGCAGAATTTTGTATCATATTTCTAAAGACAGTAAGCACTTGGGTGGACGTCAATGAATACTAAACACTAATTGATCTGATACAGCCGTATGCACATACACAGATATACATGGTGGCTTGTAATGGTTGAAAAATTACGGTTTGGTTTTATTAAAAGATCTGTCACTTTTAGGTCAGAGTGGGATTTTGGAGGGATAGTCTCCCACAATAGAAAACTACCCTGACAACAGTGGTGTTTTGAGGTTGTTTGTTGTTTGGCTTCTTGATGATGCTTAGCTAAGGAGACACTTCCTTTCAGATTCTGTCTTCCAAACCCCAGGGCTCTGTTCTGGGCAGTTCAGCCTAATGGAATTAAGCCTGACATGTTTCAACTCTATTTCTTGATAAAATAAACATAAAACAATGGTTTAGATTTCGAATAAAACTCTTGAAGCATGGGGTACTCTAACTTTCCCTGTTCTTTACACATCTGTAAATAAAGTGCATAAAAGAGGAACACAACAGGATAAATCAACATAAATTTGAAATCCACTGCAGCATATTAAATGGCGCAGTCTCAGTCAAAGAGAGGCTGACCCCGCGGCTTCGTGCAGTTTGAAGCTAATTGTTTTCGTCAGGATGGGAACGTCTGGAAGTCCATGGCTGTATCCCACCAGTAAGGCTCCAGTAACTGAGCCGGCCCACAGAGAATGGGCCCACTTTGTAGCGACACAGCGGGCTCAGACACCACCTATTCTGCTCTCCAAACTGTCATGCATAACAACTTTATTGTGCTAAATTGAACTTGAAAGCAACCAAAGGCTATGAGAAGGAGAGGCTATGAGAAAAGCGTGCTGTCAGCGCCGGCAAAGGCTGACCTGGAAAGTAGGCTCAGAGACAGGGGAATAAAAGACCAGGCCCCATGAACACAGCATATTGTTTCATTTTAAAGTATGATTCCCATACCAGAGAAAGTAGCAAATGTGATGTAAATTTATTTAAATAGATTCGACCGCTTAAAAGTTTGCCAGCCGCTCTTATCCAACTTTCCCAGCTCTCTGATTCGTTACTTACAGTGGGAATATAATGACATATAGTCATCATTGTAACAGCTTCTTTGCAGGGGCACAATGATGATTAATAGCCAGCAGCAAATTTTCACATGGGCTCTGAAGCACTATGGCATTAAGCAGCCAAACAGTCCCAAATCCCCCTTTTCTGTTCCGCTGAAAAGTCCCCTCCTTGTACCTTCCAGATAGGAACAAAGCCTATCTTAATTCCAATCAGCTTTTCGTCATTCAAAGGGACCTTCTCTTTTTCATAATTGATTCATGTGCATTTTTTAGTGTTCCACTGAGCTGAAGCCACTTTTCTCCTTTCCTCTGTTCTGTCCCCACACCCACACCCCCTTTTTTTGAGGGGGTGAGGAGTGGGAAACATTTCAACAACAACAACAACAGTAAAAAATGGTGTGGTAGTTTCCCCCGCAAATATTTGCTAAATAGATTTCTCAATTAGTATTAGCTTTACACTTAAAAGTCTTAAAACAAAAATTAACTCCTGGACTTCTTTTTTGTTGGAAGTGGTTTTGGTTATAAAAATATGAGCTTACTGAAATAGCTCTGGTGGCAGCCCCACAATCATGTTCTGTTTCACTGGGAGAGTTTGAGTAGCTTTCCTTCCCACCAGAGACTCACAGCTGGAGTGAGGATGGAGTCTCTTGCTTCAGACAGATTCTTTTTCCTCCTCTGTGCTGGTAGCCATCAAAAAAAGAACAAGTGACCAAAATGAAAGGCGGCAAATGCACACCTCCTAACCCACTCTGTCCTTCTTAAGTATCATTTTTCCCCATAGTAATCGTACATTATAATTATTAGCAGAAGCTCCTGTGCTATTTGTGGAAGTGCTCTCTCTCGTCTATAGTTTTCACCTCCTGTGATAACGACACAAACGACATCAACCAGTGCTGTCTTGGAAAAAGATTTCCATCCGCAAATTCATTTGTGTTTCTATGACAATATGATGGCCATAGAGCACAGTTTTAGTAGATATACTTTGCATATTTGTTTACATTCCTTACAAATCTGACCTCATTTTTCTATATGAGTAGGGTGACCACACACCCCTGTTTTCTCAGGACTAGCTGTATTTATGCCTATTGTCCTTACATAATTATTAACAGTACTTCCTTTCACCCTCAAAAGTATCCTGATTTGAACAATTTGAAAAACTCATGACGTTTTGCCATTAAAATGGCCCCAAATGACTTACACAAACCCAAAGGGTGGGCTGTCTCCTACCCAGGTGGCTGGGGACTGCTTTATACCATCCCAGTTTAGGGGAAAGAATCAAACTTGGAAACCCTGCTGCCGATGTAGCAGCACCGACTTTTGTCTCGCCCACTTTGAAGAGGTCAGTTGACCCTATACAGCTTCTTTGATATGTGACAGAAAGGAGGTCATTTGCTGAAATGAAAGACACATTACAAACCAGATTTTAAGTGTGACTCTTTCCTTCAGCTGGGTCACAGTTCTTACTTTGAGCCAGAGCAACACACTTTACTGGTCAGATAAAAATACTCTGCCATATTTTAGAATAATGACCTTTCTTATGCTTTGGTGTCTCCAAATGGTTAAATGGAGAATATATCCAATTGACAGGAGGAATTCTGTTCATCATTTTTACTCTTGTGTTTATATCTTCTCATAAAAAAAAAACATGTGAAAATGGCATCATGTATCTCTATTGTATTTTTCATTCAAAAATCTCAAACAGGTGAGTGTAATCCAGTCTTTAGGTTATAGGACCAAAGACTCTCAAAGACTGTTACAAACCCCCGGACAGTGTCCCTAAGGGCTGGACTTTGCATGTGGATTACCGAGTTAACTGAGAGATGTGTAATATCATCTGTAGTCAGAAAACTCCCTACTCCCTATATGGAGCAACCAAGGACATTCACATGTGTTGCTTACTCTTGAAAGTATATGGGATAAATGGGCTCCTGATATGCTAGTTTCAGAATAACTATGGCAGGACCTTAAAATTTCCCACTTTCCATAAGATCATAGCTCATATTCAATTACTGGCAGGATAAACATGTAAGATTATTAACTCTGCCTTACTAGTTCTTTTAGAGGAGCATAGCCCCTTGATGAAGGCATTGTTCTAAGCCAAATCTGGACCTATCCAATCTTTATTCATGCATTTTATCCGCTTTCTTAGATCATTCTTTCAGAAATGAAATGAGTGAGGTACATGAAATATATTTTCTGATGCACTCTTTTTAAAATAAAATACTTTTTATGGTTGTGCATTTATTTGTGAAGTGAATGTTTAGAAAACTTTAAAACCAATTCTACCATTCTGTCCTTCTTTCATGGTGATAACCAACTGTTCTGTTTAATAGGATGATGGAATTGGTTACCACTAAAGTCCAGCCCTTAGAAATTACTCTGTATTTTTAGGCCCTAGACGTTTATAAGTCTATGAGAATCTAACAAGGAGAATTGGTTTCTCCTAACAATTCTATTATCTTGTAGGTGGCTGTGTCCATTCTTAAAACTTTTGGCTCATCTTACCAGATTTTTTACAAAGATGCAGATGTTCCTTAAAAGTGGCTGAAAGATTAGGAGTTCCTTAAAAGTGGCTGAAAGATTAGGGACTTTGTGCCTGATGTGCTGGAATATGCCCGAGTTCTGTTAAATCTGATTTAACCATATTAAATCAAATCTTTTCTGATGTATTCTTATGCCCTCATTTTCATGTAATGTTACTACTATGAAGAAGTGTAATTAAGACTTTGATATGAGCCTTCACAGTCTAAAGAGTGCTTCAGTGACAACAGTTTTATTAGATTATGGTGATGGGCCTGGCTGTGAAATTCCCACATTCATGAACGACTCTGCTTTTTACTGGCTAAAAACAGGATTTTAAAATGCAATGACCTTTGGGACTCTCAGATAAGTTGCCTCTTCAACCCTGAGGTTATTTGATGAATTGCTGGGGACATACAGAAGGATGGATTAATGAATGCTGTGCTCATCTTGTCTACTGGCACCATCTGAGGGACTGAAGATCAGGGTGCCTCTTTAGACTTTGGCTTGAGATTACAATGTTACCCCCCTCTTTGCTCTAGTAACTCCATCCTCTCCACTCCATCACTCTCTATTATCTCTAGGATGCCGTAAAGCACTTACAGTTATTTTTCCTCACAGTGGAAAATCTCTTTATACAAACTATATAAACTGAGACCCACTGTCCTTATACAATCAGGGCCAACCTCTTTCCCACCAAAGACTAATTCTGCCCGGATGCCCAGGATAGTTATTTTACGTACATACACTATCCATACCCTAATCCCAAGCCAGGTAAATATATATGTAATATCCGAGGTGGATGTTTTTATTACATGGTGCCTACATTTAGAAGTATAAAATCTCTTAATTGGTTCCCATCCTGATTTTTTTATAAACTCAAGCTTTTCGGGTCTTTACTTTGATTTTCCATATTTTTCTTTTCTCTTTGTACTTGCTAACAGAACTCTGGTTTCTTTTCAGATACCATGCAAAAAATAGGCTCAGATAAGGCACACGTATGCCCATGAGTCATAATTCATCTATCCCTTTCATCATAATTCCATTCTCCTTTGCCAGGGATTGGTTTAGGGACGGGCATGTGACTCATTCACCAAATGAACATAAAAAGAAATCTGTTGGGATTGATTTTCCTTTTGTAAAAAATAAAAGAGACAAACTCATGAGGAAAATCTCATGTTCCTCCATGTTTTTAAATCTTATTTCATGAGGATGGGGGCTTGGAGTTGTGGCAACAATAACAGAGAAGCCAAGAGAATCCTAAAAAAGCTGACCCAGAGATGTGACATTTGTGAGATGTTAATTAACCACCTTGGAAACTGTCACTTCTAGACTTCTTGTCATCTGAAATAATAAACCCCTATTACTCAAGTCATACCTTGTTGGGAATTCTGTTACTTGCAACCCAAAGCACAGTAACTGAATCCCTCACCTTCTCTTTTACCAGTTATTTCTTAGTTCACGTATCTTTTCTAGCTTCTCTCAGTCAACTTGATAGGATAATAGAACTCAGACTATTGCAGTTGGCGGCATGTAGAGATCACCTCATTAAATCAAATTTGACATACTTAATTTACTGTAGAGGAAATAAACCTGGGAAGCAACAAAAATTAATCTAAGGTCATACAGGTAGTCTAGTCGCAACAGAATTAGAGTAAAATTCTGGTTTTCTGAATTGCAGTCAAGTCTCTCTACAACAATTTGGTCCAATTTCCCCTATTGCTCTGCACTCTCTCAATCCAGCCACAGTTCATTAAAGATTGGCATGCTGTACATCTTATATATGAAGTACATAATATAGGCTGAGCTCAGTGGCTCACGCCTGTAATCCCAGCACTTTGGGAGGCTGAGGTGGGTGGATCACTTGAAGTCAGGAGTTTGAGACCAGCCTGACCAACATGGTGAAACCTCATCTCTACTAAAAATATAAAAATTAGCTGGGCCTGGTGGCACATGCCCTTAGTCCCAGCTACTCAGGAGGCTGAGACAGGGTAATTGCTTGAACCCGGGAGGCAGAGCTGCAGTGAGCCGAGATCGTGCCACTGCACTTCAGCCTGGGTGAACAGAGCGAGACTCCATTTCAAAAAAGTAAAAGAAAAAATTAATAAAAATAAAGTACATAAGATAAATCACATCTATAAAAAATAGTTAAAGCATACATCCATACATACACCCAATTTGTCAAAGGAATTTAGTTATCAAAGGACATTTTCATGGACTCCTAGGAAGATCACTATGTCACAGTTTCCCTGGAACTAAGATGTCTTTATTTAAATATTATTTGGTAATCTCCACATCATTTTGTGTGTTTTGCATATTGAATTTGTAAGGTCCTAATTTCAGATATATAAAATATATACAATGCACTGAGATTATATTCAAATCTGATATCTGGGAAAAATGCACAAGAGATGAGTTGTTCAAATCTGTCCACATCATCCATTCTAAAATTTGGAGATATGATGCTGAATCCTAGGTCAGTTAACTATACATAGGTGTTGTGCATACTTTCACATTGTGGTGAGCAATGAGGGAGAAGGGATAGATAAGAGAGCAAGAGATGGGCTGCTCTTTAGCCCTTGCATTTTGGGACCAGGCAGGTTCTGGGTCGTTTCTCATTGCTCTTTGCTCACAGTCCCAGCATAACACTGATTTTTTTTTAAAATGTGAGGTATTAATATTTTGGGTAGCGATTCCTCTTGATGGCTATTACAGTAAATTCCAGCAGCCAGTATAATCAGCGCAAAGTGAGATGGGCTGTTTAATCAATTAAATTAAACATAGTTTAATGCGCAGAAGAGTTCATTTTTTAAATTTTTTTTTAAAATTGTGGTAAGATATCCATAACATATTGCTTACTATTTTCATTATTTTTAAGTGTACAGTTCAGGGGCATTAAGTACATTCACATTGTGCAACCATCACCACCATCCATCCACAGAACTTTTTTCATCTTGCAGAACTGAAACTCTGTACCCATTAAACAATAACTCTCCATTAACCCCTCCCACCAGCCCCTGGTACCTACCATTCTACTATCTGTTTCTGTTATACACTATTTGTCCTTCTGTGACTGGCTTATTTCACTTAGCATAAAGTCTTCAAGCATATATCAGAATTTTCTTCCTTTTTAATGCTGAATAATATTTCATTGTATGTATACACCCCATTTTGTTTATCTGTTCCTCCATCAATGGACACTTGAGTTGCTTCCACCTTTTGGTGATTGAGAATAATGCTGCTGGGAGCATGAGTGATGTGGTCTGGTTCTGTGCCCCCACCCAAATCTCATCTTGCATTGTAATCTGAGTATGTTGGGGGAGGTACCTCATGGGAGGTGATTAGATCATGGGGACAGTCCCCATGCTGTTCTCATGATAGGGAGTGAGTTCTCATGAGATCTAATGGTTTTACAAGGGTCTTTTCTGCCTTTGCTTGGCACTTCTCCATCCTGCTGCCATGTGAAGAAGGACATGTTTGCTTCCCCTTCTACTATGATTGTAAGTTTCCTGAGGCCTCCCCAACCGTGCTGAACTGTGAGTCAATTAAACCTCTTTCTTTTATAAATTACCCAGTCTCTGGTATGTCTTTATTAGTATCATGAGAATGGACTAATACAATGAGTATACATATATCTCACTGTGTCCTTGATTTCAATTATTTTGGGTACATACCCAGAAGTGTTATTGCTGATCATATGGTAATTCTATTTTTAATTTTCTGAGGGAACACCATGTCGGTTTCCATAGCAGCTATAGCATTTTATATTCCCACCAGTAGTGCACAAGAGGTCTGATTTCTCCACGTTCTTGCCAACGTGTAATATTTTCTGTTTTTGTTTTTTTTTAATAACAGCCATCCTCATGGGTGTGAAATTGTATCTCATTGAGGTTTTGATTTGCATTTCCCTGATAATTAGTGATTTTGAACACCTTGTAATGTGTTTATTGGCCATTTGTATATCTTTGGAGAAATATCTATTCAACTTCTTTTCCATTTTTTGAATTAGGTTGTTTGGGTTTTTATTTTTCGGTTGTATTCTAGGATTTCTCTGTCAATTCTTGAAACAAATGCCTTATCAGATATTTGATTTGCAAATATTTTCCCCCATTTCGTGGGTTGCCTTTTTACTCTGTGGATAGTGTCCTTTGATGCATACTTTTTTGTTTTGATGAGGTCAAATTCTTTTATATTTTCTTTTGTTGCTGTTTCTTTGGTATGATATCTAAGAAATCATTGCCAAATTCAATGTGAAGCTTTTCTTGTATGCTTTCTTCTAAGAGTGTTTTAGTTTTAGCTCTTACATTTATGTCATTGGTTTATTTGGAGTTGTTTTTGTATACAGTGTTAGAATATAATGTTGTTAAAAATTTTTGTATGTAACATTCCTTTGCATGTGGATATGCAGTTTTCCTAGCACCATTTGTTGAAAAGAAAAGTCAGTTCATTTTAATTTCATGTCATTAGTGCACTTTGCTGAGTACAGGGTAATCTAGTGATAATAGAATGGGTATTACAGTTAGCTACTGGATTTGAATCCCAAACATGCCACTTGTTAGCAATGACACTGAGTAATTCACTTAACTGCCTGAACCATAGCTTTCTGATCTTCACTCTATTATTCATACACTCATATTTGCCAGGTACTATGTTAGGTTATGGAAATCCAACAGCTGACAAGACAAACAAACTCTAATTCTCATGGAACTTACGTTACAGTAATATGTCAAGTGGGGTGGAATATACAATTCTTACTTCTTAGAGTTGCTGTGAGGATGAAATGAGGAAAACAAAAGCACATAACAAATAATTGTATCCCCAAAATACTAATTCCCTTCACCTTGTTTCCATAATCCATAGTTATGATGACCATACATGGTTGTTTAAAAGTTAATGCACAAATTATTTTTATTTTTATTATTATACTTTAAGTTCTGGGGTACATATGCACAACGTGCAGGTTTGTTACATAGGTATACATGTGCCATGTTGGTTTGCTGCACCTATCAACTTGTCATTTACATTAGGTATTTCTCCTAATGCTATCCCTCCCCCAGCCCCCTACCCCTTGACAGGCCCCAGTGTGTGATGTTCCCCTGCCTGTGTCCATGTGTTCTCATTGTTCAACTCCCACTTATAAGCGTGAACATGCACTTCTTCTTGTGTGACTTTGCTGAGAATGATGGTTTCCAGTTTCATCCATGTCCCTGCAGAGGACATGAACTCATTCTTTTTCATGGCTGCACAATATTCCATGGAAAAGTTAATGCACAAATTCTATGACACATTTTCCATCAAGAGGTGGTATTGCTCTGTTTGTGACCAAGATGCAGTAACAAGGACTGGGTTTTCCTTCTCATCTGAAACAACAGTAATGAAAAATGAAAAGAGGAAAACCAAAATTTTGAAACAACAGTTTATAAGACACTGGACCTCAGATAATGATGGACAGATATCCCTGAGAGATCAGGAAAAAATGAGATGAGCCCAGTGATTGCTCTAGTGTCATAAAAAGGGGAAACCAAGGCAGAGCTCACTGGACTCCTTGTGTTGAGGAGATGTAGTTGAAAGTCTGGGGAGATTAAGGCAACAGGTACCAGAGGGTGGAGCACCAAAAAGGAGAGAGCTACACAGAGAAAGAAATCCAGACATCTGCAGAGTGTGCCCTTCAAGTATTCAGCCAAGTACTGATCAGCAAGTACATGCATGGAAACTACCTGAGGCCAAGGGAAAAACATCCCAGAAGACTAGAAGATACAGTGCCTGGCACTCTGACAGGGCAAGGAATAGTGTCTATTCCCACCAACCAGACTAGAAAACTGTATAATTCTAAAGGCCTGGAGTATAGTACTTAGAAGGGTCTTGTGTCAGGAATGAGGCATAGTTGGCCCTAGACTAAATGTTGCTCTGGTCCCATTAATGAAGCTCAAAAGCAAGATCCAAGAGAATCAACTGTTTCCAAGGACTTTGACTGCGTCCAAGAACAAAGCTCAAGAACCAAAAAATATCCAGCATCCAACAAAGGAAAATTCACAATGTCTAGTGTTCAGTCCAAAATTATCAGGTGTATTCAAAAGGGAGGAATATAACCCATAATAAAGACAAAATGAACCAACTGAAACTGACCTAAAATGGACAGAAATGTTAGAGTTAGCAGACAAGGACATTAGAACAGTTTTTATAACTGTATTCTAGGTGTTCCAAAAGTTAGTTAGAGACAGGGAAGATTAAAAAAAAAAAAAAAACAAAAAAAAAAAAAAACCAGACATCCAAAAATTAAAAACCTATAATTATCTGACATGGAAAATACAATGATGGGCTTGATGGCAGATTAGGTATTGCAGAAAATGATATTGATAAACTTGAAAACATGCATTAGAAACTATTAAAAAGGAAGCACACATGGAAAAAAGCAATTTTTTTAAAAAAGAGCATTAGTGACCTGTGCGATAACTTCAAAAGGCTTAATATATGTGTAGAGTCCCTCAAGAAGGGAAAGAATCAAATAAATATTTGACAAAATACAGGTGGGACATTTTCTAAATTTGATGAAAACTATCCAAAAATCTAAATGAACCCCAAGCATAAGAAACATGAAGAAAACTATACTAATCAAATTGTTCAAAACCAGTGACGAAAAAATTCTTAAAAGCAGCCAGAGAAAAAAAAGGCACCTTTTACTGAGAAAAAAGTAAGGATGACAGTAGATTCCTCTTTGGGACAATGCAAGTGAGAAGACAGTGTAGCAACATCTTTATGGTATTGAAAGAAAAAAAAAGCCACTTAATATTCTACACCCAGCAAAAACAGCTTTCAAACATCAAGATGTTTCATACAAGCAATAGCTTAAAGAATTTATCACCCACAAACCTGTGCTTCAAAAAAGTTAAAGAAATTCTTTAAGGAAGAAAAAAAATGAGACCTGATGTAAATGAAATGTCCTGGAAATGGCTATTTCATGAATCTTTTTTCTTATTATTTAAATCTCTTAAAGAAAATTGACCTGACAATTGACTTGTATATAGTATATAAAGCACTTTCAAAACTCAACAGTAAAAAAACAGAATTGGAAAATGTGCAAAATACATGAATTGTCATTTCACTGAAGCAGATATAGGCAAATAGTCACGTGAGAAGATATTTAACATCATTAGCCATTAGGAAAATGCAAATTAAAACTATAACGAGTAAATCAGAATGGCTAAAATAAAAAACAGCACGAAATGCTGATGAGAATACAGAGAAATTAGATTACTCATACATTTCTCAAAGGAATGTAGAATGGTAAACCACTCTGAAAAATAGTGTAAAAGTTTCTCAAAAACTAAACAATCACTTACTATGCAATCCAGCAATTACACTCCTGGGCATTTATCCCAGAGAAATGAAAATGTGCATTCACACTACAACCTGTACACAATGCTTATAGCAGCTTTGTTTATAATAGTTCCAAACTGGAAACAACAATGTTTCCTTCAGTAAACGAGTAGTTAAATAAATTGTGGTATATTCATATCATGGAGTACTAACATTAAAAAATGAAAGTACTACAGATGCACATCACAATTTTGATGGTTCAAGGGAATTATGGTGAGTGAAAAAAAGCCAACCTTAAAAAGTCACATACTGTATGACAATTCTATAAATGACAAAAGTATGAAAATGGAGAACAGATTCATGGGTGCCAGAGGTTAGGAATGATGGGGGGAAGGGGTGGGTGTGACTCTCAAGGGGGTAGTGCAACAAGAAATTTATTTGTGATGTTTCAATAGTTCCATATCTCAACTGTAGCTGTGGTTAAATAAATCTATACATTTGATAATATGGCATAGAACTATCTACCAATGTCAAGTTCCTGGTTTTGATATTTTACTATAGCTATACAAGATGTGAACATTGGAGGAGAGTGGGGAAAAGATACACAAGAAGTGTCTGTACTATTTTGGCAACTTCCTATGAATCTATAGTTATTTCAAAAGTAAAAGTAAAAAGGAATCCATTATTATGAGATTGAAAATACAAGCCACACATTGAAAGAAAATCTTTGCAAAGCATATACTTGACAAAAGACTTGTATCCAGAATATACATAGATTTCTCAAACCTCAATAATAAGAAAAAATACCTAATTAAAAATAGGCAAGATTCAAACACACTTCATCAAAGAAGATATATTGATGACACTAAAGCACATGGAAAGATGCTCACCATTATTAGTTATGTGGGAAATGAAAATCAACAGTACAATGAAATCCAATACTCACCTATTATTAAAAATCTTCTCATAGCAAGTGTTGGTGAGGAGTGGAACTCTAATATATTGGTGGTAATGTAAAATGTTGTGGCCACTTTGGAAAACAGTTTGACACTTTCTTAAGAAGTTAAATATACACTTATCATATGGTTCAGCCAATTCGCTTGGTAAAATGAAGCCCAAGAGAAATGAAAGCATATAGTCATTCAAAGGATTGTTCATAAATTTTGATGACTGCTTTATTTGTAGTAGCTACAAACTGGAAACGATCCAAATATCCATAACATTTGAATGGATAAACAAATTGTGGAATATCTATGCAAAAGAATACTACTCCGTATGAACACAGAATTAACTATGGATGTGAACAACATGGATGAATCTTAAACATAATTTTACTGAAGGAAAGAAGCCAAAGAGTACATCTTGTAGGTTTCAATTTACATAAAATCAATACTGACAGAAACTAGATCAGTAGTTGCCTAGAGTTGGGGAAGAAGTAAAGAAGAGAGTATTAAAACAGAGTATGAGAAAATTTTTGGAGCAATTGATAAGTTTGTTATCTTGGTTGTGGTGATTGTTTCATGGATTTATACATTTGTCAAAACAAATCAAATAGTTCACCTCAATTTAATATTGTACAGTATTTTTAAAATAAGAAGGTGAGACAGGTCTGGTATCTCATGCCTGTATTCCCAGCACTTTGGGAGGCTGAGGCAGGGGGATTACTTGAGGCCAGGAGATCAAGACCAGCCTGGGAAACACAGTGAGACTCTATCTCTAAGAGAAATTTTAAGAAATTAGCTGAGTGTGATGGTGCACACCTGTAGTCTTAGACACTCAGAAGGCTGAGGCTGGAGGATCACTTCAGCCCAGGAGTTCAAGCCTGCAGTGAGCTATGATTGCCCCAGTGTGTGGTCCAGCCTGGGTGACAGAATGAGACCTGTCTTCAAAAAACAAAACAAAACAAACAAACAAAGAAACAAAACCCAACATGTAAAACAATTGACATGGAATTTACTTTCCTCCCCTTTGAGAATACCTCAACTATTAGGTTGGTGCAAAAGTAATTGCGGTTTTTGCCATTTAAAGTAATGGCAAATAATAAAAGAATATGGTAGAATTGAAGTTGTGTGATCTCTCAGATGAGCTAAGGAAAGTCCTTGCAGCTTCCCCAAGTTTATTTTAGGACATGCATCTTTGGAGCTGTCAGCCACCATGTGAAAAGTGTGGCTACTCTGAGTTCATTCTGCTGGAGAGACCTCTTGGCAAGAACACATACAGAAACCCTGAGACTAGGTAGAGATAAAAAATGCCCAAAGGTTGGGTGTGGTGGCTCATGACTGTATCTCAGTGCTTTGGGAAGCTAAGGCAGGGGAGTGCACTATTCCACTCAGCCTGGTGACAGAGAGATCCTGTCTCCAAAAAAAAAAAAAAAGAAAGAAAAAAAAGAAAGAGATGCCTGTATAACTTCCTACTGGCAAGCTGTCTGAGGCCATCATCTGACTGTAACTTCATGATTGAGATCCCACACCAGAACAATCCACCTGAACCCTGAAAGTTGTTTTATACCATGAAGTTTTGGGATGATATGTTACACAGAAAAAGATGACTAGAATGCTACCTATTCTGTATTTTTCATTTTGATAGTATCACTTTTATTCTTTTCGGGAAAGAATGTGTTAACAGATGACTGGATGTGATTTGCGTTTTAAACATTATTACAGCTTTCCATATAAGTGAATTTGGAAATCAGAAAAAATGATTTGTCATTGTGTATGTCTTAGCTTCAAGTTTAGAATAGAGCAACTCTGTCTATGGATTAAGAAAATCACTGGCTTCAGTCTAAAACTTTCAAATTTAGCTGAAGTCAATCAACCAATCAAGAAAGTACTGAATGTTTGACTTCATGGAGGATGCAGATGTCTGGTCTGCCTTGTCCTCCAAGGGTTTATCACCTGGGTGGTGAAACAAGGCATTTTTGCAGCAAGATGTTGTGGAATGTCTTCATGAAAGAGGAAGAACTTGAACTATAAATGATAAATTTCAATATCAGTTATTTGAATGATTTTAATTACTTTTTTCATTTTTGTCTCAAAGGAAATTTTTTGTGCATGATTATCCTGTTAATATTAAACCTCAGGAAATACAATCTAAGAACTCTTATTTGCTAATCAGACAATTTTCCTCCCACTATTTATCCACCTCCTTCAACTCAGGATATTCCTGAGTGTATATTTTTCAAACACGTTGTCAGCTTTAATTTGAAATAATCTTAGCAATGGGACCATTGCAATCCAGCTAATGGGAGGATGAACAGGGGTGCTGCTTCATGCAATCATATTGGGAGGTGATGGATTTGATATAAATAGTGGTTAATAGCATTAACCTGTGTTAGGTCTTGAAAATGATTTCCAATGTTTTCACATTCAAAATTTATACAAGCGTAATGTATCTATCTTTGTACTCAGGCAATCCATAGCCACTGCAGGAAGCAAAGCCCTGGAATGTGTATTTTGAAAGCTGTTATGTACCGTTTAACGCTTTTAGAAAGTTTCTGTCTAGTAAACTGAGTGTTCCAGGTGTGTTGGAGACTGCCTGAACTGGCTTGCACAGGCCAAAGTTGTCACTTCTTTCTGATTCCACAGTCAGTGACATCACATGGGAAGCTTAAAACTAGCCATGGTGGGAGTATTTACACCACAGAAATGGCAAATGCTCCAAGGCAGGCCTCTCGCTCACCCCTCCTTCCACCCCAGAACATATTGTTAAATATTTACCAGTACAACCCTTGTTATACCTCCAATTCTTTAGATACGATTCAATTTCAGTAGATTTCTCTGAGCTGGGACTGGTTTGAAAGTTGATGAATTGTATTTGTTTGTGAGGCCAGTGCTAAATGGGAGGGTGTAAGAGTGAATTCCTGGGAAGAAAAAGAATCAGGTAGTTTTCAAGATAGTATTTAACACACACACACACAGGTACACACACACACACTTTTCCAGTCTCTGCCAATCCTCATGGGACAAAAAGCTGAACTCCTGATGTCTCCAGGAGACAAGTCGGTAGTAATGTCCAGTTGGGTGGTAAGAGTTAGCATCACTGGCTCCCAGAGCACAGCAGAAGCAAAGCTAAATCTTCTGGATGGGAAAGTTTGTACAGATAAGAGATTGGGCAAGCAAGATCACAAAGGAGAGTGCCTATCACGAGAGGTCTTAACATCAGGAAAAGTTCCAAGTGATTATGTGTGAAGATAGAACAAGTAAGTGTTAAATTAAATAATAAAGAAAGGAGTTGACAGAGGAAGAACATTAATTGTAATTAGGTATTAATGAATTTTTATATTTTCCTTTTATTTAATTAATATGCTTTTAAAATACTGTATTTATATTAGTAAACATTTATGTTTACATATCACCATTTTAGAAAAAAAAGCTATTTTATTGTAGAGAAAACATAATGGGAAAATAGTTCTACTCTGAATCCCTGTGTTGGGCCACAATGGGTTGTGAGGTGTTCTAATACTGCCTACTAAGAAATAAATGGCCTCAGGGATAAACCCAGACACATACAGAGTGACATCTAATGAAGAGGGAATTAAATTCTCTCTATGTCACGGTTTGAGAAAAAAACTATTTTGTGGGAGAACTGGACTGAAAGAACATGAAGGATTGGGAAGAACTAGAACAATGTGAAGCTTTCTATAGTAGGGTGGTGGGGATTTGGGATTTTAGAAGTAGATTTAAACTATAATCAGAGATAAGCACCTCTCAATCATAACCATGTTTGGATTTTTAAAATGTAGAATCCAATGATACCCATTGCATTGCTCTCCAAGTCTCTTTTAATTGGTTCTCCATTAATATTTATTTCTGTTTGAGTCTTACTTGAATAAATGTATCTGTTGCACAATTGAAATCTGTTCATCTGTAGGTTCTTTAAATAGAAGGTTATATCAGAAGATTACAGATCTCGACCGTGAAAGTATACATGATGCAATAACATGTGTACAAGAGTAAGTGTGCAATTTGCAAACCTTTAGCTCTAGTTTTCCAGTTGATAGGCCCAGGAGACAACATTAGTCCTTCATATCTGCTGTGTATTTTCCAAGTAGAGTTTCTCTGGGCTATTGCCTCCTGATATATGCTACTTCCCTACACCTCTGCACTGTTTCCTCCTCTCGTTGGCATTTACAGCTCCCAGGCTTGTATCACTTATGGATTTCCTTCATGTGCCATTTACCTTTTTTCCAAATAATTAAGCCCAAAATTACATTAGAGCTTGCTCAAGCTGCTTGCCACTTGGATAAATTATACATCATGACTTCTCCAGTCAATCACCATCTAGGATTTCCAACATTTACTCTATAAGTCGCTTTGTTTTATGTGTTATCTTCTCTGGCAGCTCTCAGAGGAGGAGGCTACCCAGGAAATTACAATGAGGAAAACATAGAGTAGTTGATTTTTGTTGTAACATTTCAACTTGCATATTCTTCCAGTGTCTCTTTTGTGGAAAAGAATATTATTATCCTTTTATATTACTGGTCAGCACTACTATTTTGGAAATCAGTAAAATGGAAAATATTTCCACTAATATTTCACTAAGGTTTAATTTATGTAAATAAATATGGAAATGATTTGCTTATATACTGCACTTTTATGAACAGTTTCAGTTTTCAAATTCTGGTAGATAACAGTTCTATTAGTTATTTTATTTTATTTTATTTTTTGAGACAGGGTCTCACTCTGTTACCTAGGCTGGAATGCAGTGATGCAAACACGGCTCACTGCAGCCTTGACTTTCTGTGCTCAAGCAATCCTCCCCATTCAGCCTCCTCAGTAGGTGGGACTGCAGGCATGCACCATCACACTCAGCTAATTTGTTTTAATTTTTATTTTTTTAGAGATGGGGTCTCATGATGTTACCCAGGTGGGTCTCCAACCTTTGGGCTCAGGCAATCCTACTGCCTCGGCTTCCCAAAGTACTGGAATTACAGGCGTGAGCTACCATGCCTGGCCTAGTTGTCTTTATTTTTATCCTTATTTGGAACTTGTCTAAATTTTGGTAAATGTGGGAGTATTTGCTCACTATTATATCCTCACCACCTAGAACATTGTCTGACATAGTAAGCTCTCCATAAATATTTGTTGAATAAATACTAAGAAAATTACTGGGCTGGGCACGGTGGCTCACGCCTGTAACCCCAGCACTTTGGGGTGCTGAGATGGGCAGATCACCTGAGGTCAGGAGTTCGAGACCAGCCTGGTCAACATGGTGAAACCCCGCCTCTACAAAAAAATGAAGAAATTAGCTGGGCATGGTGGCACACACCTGTAATCCCAGCTACTCAGGAGGCTGAGACAGGAGAATCGTTTGAACTGAGGAGGTGGAGGTTGCAGTGAGTCAAGATTGTGCCACTGCACTCCAGACTGGGCGACAGAGCGAGACCCCGTCTTAAAAAAGAAAAAAAAAAAAGAAAGAAAAAAGAAAATTACTGACTAATAAATTAATAAACTTATTCTCTGATGATAAAAACTGGAACATAAGTTTTATGATATAGAAGCCCTGCCTATATTGTCTACTGATGTCCACTACTTAGCAAGGTGCCTTGGCAATATAGTATGTGTGCAATAAATAAGTGTCTTCAGTATTCCAGAAGATGTCATCTAAAAAAGCAGGTCTGCCAATCTTAGTGTGAACTCCTTAGCGATTATTTATTTATTTATTTATTTTTGAGACAGAGTCTCGCTCTGTTGCCCAAGCTAAAGTGCAGTGGAGCCATCTCGGCTCACTGCAACCTCCGCCTCCTGTTTCAAGCAATTCTCCCTGCCTCAGCCTCCCGAGTAGCTGGGATTACAGGTGCCCACCACCATGCCTGGCTAATTTTTGTATTTTTTTTTTAGTAGAGACGGGGTTTCACCATGTTGGCCAGGCTGGTCTCAAACTGCTGACCTCAGGTGATCCACCCGCCTCAGCCTCCCAAAGTGCTCGGGTTACAGGCATGAGCCACTGTGCCCAGCTATCTCCTTAGCAATTTATATGACCAGTTATCTGGATCTCTGTCATTTCTCAAGATAATTACTCTAGAAGACAATAGTAAATAAATACTCCTGAGTTTCTAGAGATCTAGCCCAAAGTAACTCTGAGACATATTTTTTTTAAGTTTTCTCTTTTTTTTTCTTGGACATGTATGCAAATGTTGCTTTAAATTTCATAACATGTTTCTTATTACCTTAATATAAAATTGATATTTTAGTTACTTACTTGCTACTTATTTAATTCTTCCCCACAACCCCAAATATTCCAGTGTATTCAATATTAAGGAAAGATGTGCAACATGTCCTATGGCATCAATATCCACACACCCACACCTTCAATTCCAGAAAACGTAAGTTTGAAAACCATAATTTTATAAGTGCAGAGCTCTTAATCTTAAAAAAAAATTTTCTTATTACAAAGTAATATATATTTACCTTAGGAAACTTACGAATCAATGATAAGTGAAAAGAAAAAAATTGGGCTGGGCGCGGTGGCTCACGCCTGTAATCCCAGCACTTTGGGAGGCCGAGGTGGGTGGATCACGAGGTCAGGAGATCGAGACTAGCCTGGCGAACACGGTGAAACCCCGTCTTTAGTAAAAATACAAAAAATTAGCTGGGCGTGGTGGTGGACACCTGTAGTCCCAGCTACTCTGGAGGCTGAGGCATGAGAATGGCGTGAACCAGGAAGTGGAGCTTGCAGTGAGCAGAGATTGTGCCACTGCACTCCAGCCTGGGTGGTGACAGAGTGAGACTCTGTCTCAAAAAAAAAAAAAAAAAGAAAAGAAAAAAATCACTCACATTTTCACCACGAAAAATAGACTTAAAATTTTGGTATATATCCTTATGATTATATGTGTAATGTATGCATTTATAGATATTATTACTGTGATTTTGAAATTTACTTATTCTCCACTTAATCTACCACAGACGTTTTACCATGTTTAAAAATGTTCTTCACAAAATTATTTTAGTGACCTGGAATCTTCGTTCCCCAGGTCATTGCATCACTGGTTTCTTCTTACTTGTCAGATCTCAACCTTTTGGGCTCCTTAGAAAGGTTTTCCTTGATACTGTACAGAGTGGCTGCCACTCCCCACCCCCAGGTTTTTCCTATCCCATAACCCTTTTGCTACTTATTTTTTGTTTCCGTTAGTACCTCCTTGAAGCAGAGAAATGGTCTTTATTCATTGTTTTATTCTCAGTGCCTGAAACTTAGTAGGAACTCAGTAAATATTTTTGAAAAAAAAGAATACATGAATGAATAAAAGGAAGAAGAAAATTGCATTATGAACGCAACACTGTGACTTAATGCCCCTATTTTTAGACATTTAGACATCTCTTTTATTATCATAAAAATTACTTTCCTATATATATTTATCTGGAAAAATGTTTGTGCACACCCATGATTTTTTTCTTTTTTTAGTTTACATTCCTAGAACTAAAATTGTTGGGTCTAAGGATAGGTAAAAATTTTAAGTATTTTTAATATGTATTACCAGAAATTCTGACAATTTATACTCTTGTCAACAGTATTTCAGACTGCCACTTTATTCAAGTCAGTAATAGATTTTTGTCATTTTAAAACAATGATAAATGGAAAATTTCATCCCATTTTAAGTGACTTTTTAAATTTTGAGGTACACATATATATTATCATATAATCATATAATTATCTTCATATGCTTATTGTCATTTCTTCTTTTTTGTGAATTGTCTGTGTTCTTTGCTAGTTTAACCTTTTTAATTGATTTATGATTTCATTATATGCTAAGAACCTATCAAATTTTTTATTATTTATTTGCAACTTTTTCCCAGTTCATAATTTCTGTATCACTTTTTTGTATGGAATTAAAATTTTTGTGTTAAGTAAACTTTAAAACACATACAAAAGTAGCAATAACACACATAAACTCCATTTATTCATCATCCAGCTTCAAAAATGATCAACTCATGCCTAGTCTGTTTTACCTTCCTCCAGTCAGTTCTCCTGTTTTACCTCTTCCCAACTCCTGATTATGCTGAAGAAAATCCCACACAGTGTAACATTTAATTAGTCAATAT
This sequence comes from Homo sapiens, assembly GCF_000001405.40. Lineage (NCBI taxonomy): Eukaryota > Metazoa > Chordata > Mammalia > Primates > Hominidae > Homo > Homo sapiens. The sequence goes on along the minus strand of NC_000005.10, from coordinate 88,521,024 downwards.
TTGAATACAGATCTCTAAAAGACAAAGACTCTCCTTTTTCAACACAGACTCAAGGCTAAATTTGTAAATAGCTGTATAAAACAGACAAAAATCTAATATTTGTAAAACTTCAATCTTTTTCTTTGTGGCTTCTGCTTTTGTTGTTATTCTTAGAAAACCCTTCTTTACTCCATGATTTTATAAAACTGTGTTCATTTTCTTCAAATTACATCATTAATATCCAACCTTTTTATAAAGTTTTGCAAATACAAATAATTTAAAAAAGAGTTAAATTTCATAGCCCACACACTCCCAATACTATAGTGTAGACTATGTTCTGAAAATATTTTACAATTTATTTTTACAAAATTAGAATGCTACCATTTTGTAACTTAATTTATTTTAAATGCCATTCCAAGTTAACAAATATTGACTGACATTGTTATTTTCTAAAGATCCATAGTATTCTATTATAAAGCTATAATGTAACTTATTTTGTTCAATATCTTAATTTTAGATATTTAGTTGGAGTATAATTTTTTGACAATATACATAATTAATTAAGCACATATTGAACTTCTATGCCAAACACTATATTTGATGCTGAAGATATGAAGGGGATGGGGAACAAAAACAAGAACAATGCATCTTTCTGTATATGGCTTAATTTAATTATGAACATTTTTGTTTAGATATGTTTTACCACTTTCAACTGTTTCCTTTGGATAAATTCCTAAAAGTGAAAAACATTTAAATAAATACTGTCAAATTCTCCTACAGAGTTGTTGTGATACTTTACATTTCTACCTGCATTCTCAGTGTTAATACTAGGTATCCTGGTTCTTTTTAATCATTGATAGATAATAAGATTGGTGAAGAAATGGTGTCACTGTTATTTTATCCAGTATTTTATTATTGCTAGTGCCATTAATTACTTGTTCACATGCTTACTGAACCCTTGCATTTCTTCTTTTGTGAATTGCCTGTTCATGTTCTTTGCACTTTTTTCTTATTGAGGGGTTTGCCTTCTTTTATAATTCTGCTTTAAATTCAAACACTGACTGCATCACAATGGTGGTTGTATGTGGAGGTCATATGTGTAAAAGTGCTGAAAACTTTTAGCTGAGTAAAATTATTGTAAGCCCTTAAATTTGAAGTCTGTCTACAATAATAGTATAAACTCAAGTTGGAGACTTTTTAAAATTACTCAACACTATCTATGTAAATACTGGCTTATATTGAAAGGCTAAATTTAAGGCACCAATGTATGAATAGATTAAATGCTTCTTTAGAGGTAAATGTAAAACAATTATAGTTTTGTACTGAATGACATAAAAAATGGGCCTTTAGTGGTGGTGGAATTGCTAATGGGTTATAGAGTCTTCTGGCTCAAAATGGTAGTATTGGAAGTGACAAAAAGTCATTGTATCTGCTAGCTGTTAGATTATGCAAAATGATGTTGGGAACTCAGAGTAATTTTTAATGTGAATGTAACAAGAGTCACCAATGCAATTAGCACCCTTGTGGGCAATCTCAAGAGAAAAACCAAGGATTGAATTATTATAGTGTACAAAATACATTCTCACCTATGAGACAAATTGGTATGAAAACACAGACTTTCCTAGATAAGACTCTCTTTAGTTGGTAAATAGAGAACTGATTTCAGTTTCTAGGACCATTAATCTCCTACCTTTTATGGATAGTAAATTATATTTAAATTAAAACAAACAAATAGTATACCTGTCAGACTGTGTATCAGTATGAACACAAGCTGTCAACAACTTGTAATTAGGACCTCTAACCTGATCTGCTTAAATGGCTTTGACAAGTAGGGGAACATAAAACCAATTTTCTGTTTCAAAGAGAAAAATAACTTTTAGTAAAACATTTGAAATAAAATGACAACTTTTGTATTTTTTCCTATGACTATCATATTACATTTATATTCTCTAATCACATTTTTATATACAAACTGGATGATATCTCTTGTGTTCATGCCACATGTTTTTTGTTTTTGTTTTAAATTATGTTTTAAATCTCATGCCCAAGAATCGTGGTTTGAAAGTAAAATTACCATCACTCTTGTTTTTGAGCACATGTGAGGTCAGTAACACCACATTTCAAACCACATTAATTATCCACTTGAATGAGTAATGTCATAAGAATATTCTACTTGTCCTCCCTCCAGCATGGTCTGGTAAGAAGGACCACCAGCCTCTGGGAAACCACCAACCACAAAATAGACAGCATGAAGGAGTGGCAGAAACCACTGTAGCTGTCATAGAAAATGTGCTAGATGGCCTACTGTTGTTGTTCTGAGGGTATGCATTGGATAGGGGGAGACCGTTTTCATTTTTCCTGTGATTTCATTTAAAAACTTAAGAAAATAAACAGATACTATGGGAGGGAGTCAGGCAGGATCTTTTATGTAGCATGTGGTAGGAGGGAAAATCTGCTTTAAGCTTGAGTCACGTAACTGAAAATTCCAGAGGTATTCTTACTGCAGATACGACTGACTCTTTTTTTTAAAATATGACATCTCCTTCCCAGGCTTTGATCTCCACATTCTCCTCTTTTAGTTCTATTCACAGATAACCTCTACACTATTTTCTTTCAAAACTTGCAGCCATTGCTCTGACAGGACTTGGCTTAATTCAGATACCCATTATGGAATCAACACTGTGGTCAAGGAAATACTTGACTGAGCCTGGGCTATGGGACCAGAGTGGGGGAGGACAGAGTCTCCAAGTAACTGAATGTAGGAGGAAATGGCAATTGATGTTGTGAAGGCAAACCACAAATGTGTACTCCTGGAGTATAGGTTTTTCTACTACTGGGCTCTCTTCCTTTTGTATTTTGGGTGCTCCTGAAAGAGACATAGCTATAAGAGTAAATTTAGAGAATCTGTCTTGTCATAAGCTCACAAAGGAGGATATAGTCACTCTTTTTTGTTTTTCATGGTTTCCAAACTATGGAAACCATTACACAATCTATGCAAGAAAAACATTAGGAGGAGGTCCTCAGGGTTACATCAGTTCGTTACAAAATGGAGAATGACATTCTAAAAATCAGATTACTTTTGGTATAGAACTACTGAGGTACTGATGCTATCTGCAGGGTGGTCTGGAATGGCCAAATATTTCAGTAAACCTCTGCTTACTGCTATTGATTAAGATATTTCAGTTTTATGTAATTTTCAGGATGGGAGCTGGAAGGCTTTTAATTGATGAAGGTAAAGAATGTCTCCTATGAGCAAGAGAAGTCAACTGGACATACAATAGCATGATAGAAAATTTGGGGGTTTTCTCCTATAATTATTTGTATTCTTACTGAGAGTTGGGAGGAAAAGGGACAAATGGTTACAGGAGAGCTCTTTGAAAATGAATACCTTGAAAAAGAGGTTGTGATTTTAGCAGTATCGTGAACCACAGAGAGGCCTGGGAAGTGAAGTAGATGTTTATGCATTTGCTGGTAGTTGAGTTTATGATGGAGAGAGGAAAATGCAAAGACAAAAACACTTAATCCCTCTCACATTAGTATCTGATTAGAAAATAATTATTCCAGATAATTAAAAATAATTGTTTTGACTACTAGTTGCACAAAAGCTGTAACAAAATTTAAAATCATACTTCAGATTTTTCCTACCCAGCAGAAAATGTGTTACATCTTTTCAAGAGAAACTTGTTAGTTCCTTGTGGAAAACAGTATAGGTTTTGTGATGCATCAATGAGACATAAAAATACAAAGTGTTACCTTAGCAGTTATTTTTATTTATTTTTAACAAAATCATGAGTAATAAAGTATACAATGCTCTAATCCATATTTTTACTCTTTTCTAGGATAGTGTATTATAATAACTTCTTTGGATTGTCAATTTTTATAATAAACTTGTATCAGTTAATTACTAAATCTGAGGACTTCATCATGAAATAGATTATTGTGGTTTTCCTCAAATTGTTATGCTAGAAAGGAGAGAAGATGTGTTTGAGGAACAATCAATCAGTCAGCCACATCAAGAAGTTAACAATATAAAAGGTTAACACGAATAAAATATAAATTATATTATAAATAGATGAATATATTTAAAAGCTATATTTGTATTTCATAATGGGTTATATTGCACAATTGGGCTGCCAGAAGAAGAGATGAATGTATTTGTAAAACCACTAAATCTTTATGGAAATTGATGTATCTGAGGAGGTTTGTAGAAGGCAGAGTACAGAAAAGGTAGGTAGATATAGATGGGAAAATGATGCTGCACTCTGGAGAATAGTCTGGGAATATCCTTGGAGTTAAGGGGACCAGTAATATTTATGTGAATGAAGGGGTCAGAGAGCAGGGAGATATGAGGAAGATTAAATAAGCAACAGTCAATTAGCTTTCATTCCAACTGGTCACTTGAAGTCAGAGTAATCATTTTGAAGCACACGAGGATGACCTAGAATTGCTCAATCATTGGTGAAATTACAAGTGTTTACTCTGTATCCATGAGTAATTGCACTTACAAAATATATCCACGCCAAAATTATACACACAGAGTGAGTTTTACTAGGGAACTTTATAGCCTTTATCTTTTAAGCAATTATAGCTCTCCGAACTATGTATACAAAACGATTATAGAATTGTGGTTAACTACTTCTTTTAACCCCTCATATGTCCTGAAACAGTAATTTAGGGGAAAGAATAAAGAAAACAATTAAAATTTCACCTACACAAGGTAGATAGTTCAATTTGTTGTTTCTCTGCAATGTAATTTATCTACCATTTGCAATGGACTGAATGTTTATGTTTCCTCCAAATCCATACGTTGAAATCCTAAACCCCAAGTGATAGTATTAAGAGGTCGGGCCTTTGGAAAGTGATTAGGTCATGACGACAGAGCCCTCATAAACGAATTAGTGCCCTTATAAAAGACATTCCAGAGAGATCTCTCGCCCTCTCCACCATGTGAGGTTACGGTGAGAAGATAGCTGCCTACAAGGTTTTGGGCCCTCAGACACTGAATCTGCTGGTACCCTGATCTCGGACTTCTCAGCCCCTAGAACTATGAAAAATGAATTTATGTTATCTATAAGCCACCCAGTCTATGGTATTTTTTATAGCAGCCAGAATAAACTAAGACACAATGTACATGTGAAAAACCCTAGTTTGTTATAATAAACTGAATTCCTACAAAGCAAAATTTCAATTGTACAGCTTTTTTTCCTTATTTATTTTTAAATTGTAATTCCTGAAATAAAATTTTTGTTCTTTTGTAATGTGACTATTGGAGTTGTATTTGTGAGTTGTATTTATCGTCCATGTGAATGGCTTCTGTTCAGAGAAATATTTTAGAGGCATTACGGCTTAAGAACTTAATCTGTGGAACCTGATGGAATTGTGTCTGAACTTTAGTGAAGTCACTTAGCAGGTGCTATGGTCTGAATATTTGTATCTCCCCAGAATTTATATGATGAAACATAATCACCAATGTGGTGATAATGGGAGGTGGGGTCTTTGAGGGATGATTAGATCATGAGGGTGAGCCCTTATAAAAGAGGCCCAAGAGAGATGCCTTGTTCCTTATACCATGTGAGGACACAGCGCAAAGAATCAGAAAGCAGACATCAACTCTGCCAATGCCTTGAACTTTCTAGCCTCCAGAACTGTAAGAAGTAAATGTTGTTTATAAGCTACCCAGTTTATGGTATTTTGTTGTAGCAGACTGAATGATCTAAAACACTGGGTTTGAAACCTTGGGCAAATTGCTTAACCATAGTTAAGTCATAGTTTGCTTATTCATAAAATGGGCATAATGATACTTACCCCAAAGGTTATTGTAAAGATTAAATGGAAAGTGATATATGAGTAAATCCCTTAGCAAACTTTCTGGCATACAGCAAATCACCAAGATAGGATAGAAAAATTAGCATTTTAAATTTTATGTGAATTACATGGGAAATGAATATAAATTTTACACAATATAAATGGTTTGCATATAATACAAATTTAAACTACTACTGTAAAGTCTATAATGATAGATGTTTACACATCCCAGGGCTACCAGATATTATATAGTTCTTTGGTCCTTTTCCTTCCTTACTTCTTTCCATTTTTTTTTTAAGAGACAGGATCTCGCTCTGTTGCCCAGGCTGGAGTGCAGGGGTGAGATCATAGTTCACTGTAACCTTAAATTCCTGGGCCCAAGAGATCCTCCTGCCTCAGCCTCCTGAGTAGCTAGTACTATAGGCACCCCTCACTATGTCTTGCTAATTTTTTTTTCTTTTTTTGTGGAGATGGGGTCTCCCTATGTTACCCAGGCTGGTCTTGAACTCCTGCCCTTAAGTGATTCTCCTACCTCTGCCTCCCCAAAGAGTCAGTAGTATAGGTGTGAGCCAACACATCCAGATTTTTCTTTTTTTTTCTTTCTTTCTTCTTTCTTTCTTTCCTTCTTTCTTATCTTTTCTTTTCTTCCTTTCTTTTCTTTCCTTCCTTCCTTCCTTTCTTTCTCTCTCTCTCTTTCTTTCTTTCCTTCCTTCCTTCTTTCTTTCTTTTCTTTCTTTCTTTCTTTCTTTCTTTCTTTCTTTCTTTCTTTCTCTCTCTTTCTTTCTTTCTTTCTTTCTCCTGCTTCTGCTTCTGCCTCTTCTTCTTCTTCTTCCTCCTCTTCTTCTTCTTTCTCTCTCTCCCTCCCTCCCTCCCTCCCTCCCTCCCTTCCTCTGTTTATTTCTTTCTTTCTCTCTCTTTCTTTTTCTCTTCTTTACTCCTTTCCTTTCTTTTCCTTTTCTTTCCCTCCTGGAAATTCTTGATTTAAACAGTCTTGGGAGGAAGCCAAATACATAAAGCAGAGGAAAACAGAGATGCTATGGGGATTGGTGGGGAAGCATGGTGCCCAAACCTCCATCCATTCAATCACTCGTCCTGCTTCCCATCTCCTAATGGCATGGGAAAGGGCACCAAAGAAATCCCAAAGACTCTCTGGAAGAATTTGAAAACCATTTCCTAATTCTCTGCTTGTCAGTAGAAGAAAATGGATCCCAAAGCCCTGGTTTTCTAGTCATTAAGATGGCTGGTGAGAGAGTCAGGATGACTTCCAAGTGTAATGGTCATTGTGCTATGACAACCTGCCTGATTAATCCTCTGCTAAATATATCTAAGGGGGTACGAGACATCTGAATCACTGAGATATTCATTCAAACATGACCCCTGGAAGTTGCATATCTGGACAAGAGAAAATTCACAGACTGCAATTTAAAATCACCAAGTAGTCCTGAAAACTTTAGTGTCCATAAGACTGTTTCTGCTATTTGCATGAAGCCCAGTGGTCCTGTGATAAGCACAGAGGTAAGATGGCCTTTAAAAAAAAAGGTTCTGGAGAGGAGTTAAGGAACTGAGAGTTGGGACCATTGCAATTGCTCTGATTGAGTTGTAGTTTTAAAGAAGGAACTCAGTTCAATCTAGATTTCTTGGTACTCCCAACATTAGTTAGAATCTACTAAGAAAATATATCCAACATGAGAACCTAAAAACTATCAAATGTCCAATTCAGGCTACTTTTTATAATTAAAATAAAGAACAAAGAAATGAGGAAAGACTAAATTAGTGTGTCTCCTCAGACTAGAGAGGCAAAGGCTGAGATGATATAGCTGAAGCTCATGAAATAGCAAAGAATATATACAGAGTGGTTGAGCATAGACTACTCATTAAATAAAACATGTGAGAAATAGGTGGACTTCTTAAACCGATAAATTTGAGACTGATAAAGGGAAAACCACTACATTTTCTCTCCTGGTTGCACTTTGACTAAAAGAGTTTGAGAAGTTACCCACATTATTTGGGATTTTTAATTTTGTTCTCGTTTTTAATTTTGATATAAAATTCTCTGTATTATACTCACAAAATAAAAAGAATTGTGATTTGGATTTCCCAAGTAGCCTAGATGATTTAATGTACTTAGACAATTAGAATGATTTATTTGGGAATTTGGAGACACACAAGTCTCATTTGCTATTCTCTACATCATGTGTAGTCATTTGGAGAGATATTGCACCCTACATAAAATGTTTCCAGTAGCTACTGACTTCCAAAGAAAATCTTTTAAAACTTCTTACTCAGGCTGAGGCGGGTGGATCACCTGGGGTCAGGAGCTCAAGACAAGCCTGGCCAACATGGTGAAACCCCGTCTCTACTAAAAATACAAAAATTAACCAGGCTTGGTCGTGGGTGCCTGAAATCCTAGCTACTAGGGTGGCTGAGGCAGGAGAATTGCTTGAACCCAGGAGGCAGAGATTGCAGTGAGCAGAGATCGTGCCACTGCATTCCAGCCTCGGCGACAGACCCAAACTCCATCTCAATAAAATAAAATAAAATAAAATAAAATAAAATAAAATAAAATAAAATAAAATTCTTACTTAATTCTTCTGGTTATCTCAAGAAGAAAGTCTCAGTTTGATGTTATATGTTTTTAACACCTAACACTTGCTAATATCCCTTTTAACAATGAATAGTTCAGTAGACAACTGAATCTATGATGAACCTGGATAGGTTTGACAAGGCTCAATGGGAATAAAGGAGGAAGTCAAACCCCTGTTAGAGATCAGTATAGCTATTTGCACTATGAGTTCTGGAATCCACAAATCCAAGGTGTTTCCTATGTTCATTTACTCAAAGGGTCTAGTATACTTGGAAATTTTTTATCAAAAAACCGAAAAAATACAGGCTTTAAGAAAGGTTAATCTAAATGCACAGAGGACAGAAAAATATTAAGAAGTCTCAGGGTGTATCCCCAGTCTTTGGTGTTTCAAGTGGCATGGCTCTTTATGCCCCTAGTAGAGACAGAATATTGGATGGACCATGGCTCAGACTCACTAGATTAATACTTGTGCTTTTAAGTGAAATCCTCTATTTCTTTGAAAATACCTCTTTTAAATTGCAGATGAAGCTGATCTGGGGAAAGGTGTCCCTAAAGAGAAAGTAGCGTAAGTGCCCATGTTAGTGCTATCTTACTGTGTGCACAGGATAAATCTAATGCAGATTGAACTAATCTAAAGTTCAACATCTGTTTCATTCCAAGTGGAACATTTGAAATTCAATGCAAAGAAGGACTTTCAAGCCTGGCTTTTATTCTGAACAACTAATTGCAGTAGTCAGTTTCCAATTTTTGAGTCCATAAAGCCCCTTAGCTAGCCCCAATAAAAGTCCCATAAAGTAGCATTATGTTTGATGAATGTATTATAAGTTTCATTCGGTTTTTAAAAAGAGCCATTGTATATAATTTTATAAATTTTTGAATTCAGCAATATTGAGTATCAGTAATATTGAATATCAGTTAAGATCCTGTCCTCTGGAGCTGGACAGACGTGGCGTAGAATTTCACAGCTGTTATGGACTGATTTCGGGCAAGTTATTTATCCTAAGTCCAAGATTCTTTTTTCTATAAAATGGGGATACAAATAATATCACATAGATAGTATTAATGAACTAATGCTTGTTGAAAGCAAGCATTAAAAATACAAAATAATTTAAGTAAGCTCTTAGCATAATACCTGGCAAAGAGCGAGGGGTCAAAACATATTAGCTATAATTAATCACCATCCTACTAGCAGCTTTATTCAGCACTGATCTTTAGATTTAATAGCTTGGTTTATAGAACACAACAGGTTAAATGCATGTTTAAAAAGCATCTCTTGATATTTTCAAACCTGCAGATGTTTGACACAATGAAAATAAAAAAAGAATTTGTACTTTTTATCTGGGAATTTTGATATTTCAACATTCACAATGATAGCAGTGTGAAGTATGCCCATCCTAGTCTTCATTTACTCAAATTTTCTATGACACTCTCTTTAGCTAACTCTGCCCTGGAATGGGTTGTTTCCCACTTCCCTAAGGTAATAGAATGTGTAGAACTGGAGGGTGAGAGCTCAGAGCTCATCTCTGGGACAGCTCCATCAACTTTGCTTTTTGTAAGGGGGAAACTAAAGCCCAGAAGGGTTAAGTGGCGTGCACAAGTTTGACTGAGTCAAAATTTAAACTGTTTCCCATGCTCACTCCATTGCATCACACTGGTCCTCAAAACTGCAAGGGCTCAGCATTTCTATCCACTATACTTTCTAGGCCCGATTAGAAGTTATTTTCTAGTGTATTCTTAAAGTTCAAACACAAACTTTGACTTCAGTGCAAACATTAGTTTCACAAGATTTTTAAATGTTTTAGATATGCTTTCCAGAAGTTTAAGAGACTGAAGCTACACATTGTGGTCCATTTATACAAAGGAAAATGGACTTGACAAATACTGTTCTGGCAAATCAGTGCTAAATATAATCTTAGTTAAGGAGACATTTTCATTAAGCATCCTCTTTCAAATGCCAGCTAAAGCTTTTCCTGTGTATATGCAACATTGGGTATTACATGTAAAATATCCATACATAATATGTGTATTTTATTTATGACAGAGAGCAGTCATAATGTATATTAGGCACTCAGTTATTATTTAAATAATGTATTTGTGAATTCTTGATAATTTGTCTTGTTGTCTAGAGCCTAGGATAGTGCCTGGCACAAAGGCATTCAGGAGATATTTGCTGACATCCTGAATGAGTACTGTCTTACAGAGAACGTGCTGTTGCCAGTTAATGTGCTTTGTACACTATCTATCATGGCACAAAATTCAGCCCAACACCAATTTCAGTCCTTGAAATATTGTCAGGAACTTAAAAAAAGTGCAACTCAGTTATTCCAGCCTCTGTGATAGTTTTTTTAAAATATGCATTTGAAAACTGTGATTATTATATTATAATGTTACAAGTAAATTTCTCTTTGAGAATATATATTAAAATTTCCTTGCCTATAACCATCATACAGTGGCAAAGTAAAAACTCCAGTGGCTCCACAAAAACTCTTCAAAATAATTAAAGTAGAATTGCTGAGCAGATAGAATTAACAAGGGTCATGAATCAAGTCAGTTCGAAGGTGAAATTTTGTGTGGGGCATTGATATCATTTTGGCTCAGTTAAGAAAGAAAGAGGATCTTGAAGAACAATGCTGTAAATCATGAGGAAACAGGAACATGTTTTGGTTTTCTAGAATTAGTTAATTTTTTGTAAAGCAATGTTTCTAAGAAGACATTTTATAAATGTAGATATATTTTAAAATTGTCTTTCTCACTAAAGAATTGTGATATTTCCAAAAGGCATGCAGTTTTTCTGAAAATTTAAGCCAATATCTTGTTGAGAAAAATGCTTTTTAAGATCATATATTAAACCTTAAAGAGAAAACAGCTAAAACCCCAAATTGTGTGGAAAAAAGTCCTGTTCTGTAATTCTGTGTATGATGCTGGGATTAGGCAAATGGCTGATGGCTTGATCTGTCAGGGGCTAACCTGAAAACTGCTGACTTCCTGGATGTGAGCCAAAGGTTGCCCTTGGGGTTAAGATAAGCCAGTTAATCTCCTGACTGAAACAACTAGTCTAGACATTGAATTGCTCTGGCACGGTACTTGTCAGGGATGTTGTGGACTGACTACATTCTAATTTTGCCCACTGTGTAGTCCTGGAATTGCAGGGTGTTTTGGACAAGAGGATGGCACGGTTGCTATAACTTGACTAATTCAGCTGCGGAGACAATGTTATATAAGGTGGGGTGTTGGGTTTTGCATAATTTTTTAGATCAATTCCCAGTCACCAATGAAGAGAAAATAGCTGCATAATAGGTCTAGCTTGTTTTATTCATGCGTAAGGATGTAATAAGGAATCTGTAAGCTGGTATTAGACTGTGCTTCTGATCCTCTGAGAGGTTCTTCTGGCTGTGAGGATCCTTAAAAGTCATTGAGAGAGTCATTTGGGACTGCTGTATGCTGATGACTCTGAACTGAAAGACACATCCAAAATGAAAAAAAGAGTTTCTAAAGAGCCAGCACAAAAATAAAGGCAGTCATTGGACATCAAGCAGAAATTTGACACAAAACTCTATCATTACCTGGTATTTTGTTATAAGAAACACTAAAGCAGATTAAGAAGAAAAATAAGTGGTGCACAGGCCTGGAACAGCCTCAGCCTGGCAAGAATTGAAGACTCCAGCCCAAACCTGGATGTGATATACTGACTTGATCCATTTTGATTTGCACCATATCTTATTCAAGATTGAACTCTTACTTCATTTCAGGATATTTTGGGCTAGAAAGATGAACAAAATGAAGTTCTTCTTTTAATGACTTTATATTCCAGTAAAGATGGTGATGTCAAATGAGAAAAGAATATCACCAAGAAAAAGATGAACAGCCACCATCACATACTTACTTAGAGGAGATTGAGACCTCAGCCGAAATAAGCGAAGGATTCCGGACCCATTTAGAAATGTGTCCTCTTTAATTTTCTTATCTTACTTTACACATTCTTCTTCTACTCATCTAAACCTGTAGCTACTATTGTATTCTATAGACACCAAATATTTTATCTCTAACCTCCTCTCTTTTCTGTTTTCTTTACAACTACCTTTTCTTAGGTTTTCAAAAGTTTTTTATTTGAACTTTTCCAGAAATTTTCTAACTATTTGCCTTCTCCTCTTCTGTATACCTCCCTTTGGTCTAAAACAAATTAATGTCACCCCATGGCTTAAAATCTTCCCCAAACTCCCCTACCACCTGCAAGATAAAGTCCTTATTTCTTAACATGACTTATAAGGAACTTTTTGTATTGAGACCTGTCTACCTTTCCAGACTCATTGCTTCCAGCTGTTCGTGGACCAATACTAGATGCCAGCAATAGAGAAATCACTGCAGTTCCCCAAAGGTACCACATTCTTCTGTATGTCTCTTCTCTTCTATTCCATTTACCTGGAAAGTCCTTTTCTCCACTTATCTGCCTGCTGAATTCATTCCAATCATTCCTTAAAAGTCAACTCAAGTTCATTTCTTTAAAATGCCTCCTGCCCACATTTCTAGACAAAATCATGCACTTTCGTTTCTGTGAGCTCTCATCATGAGCTGTAATTATTTGTTTTTTTCATTTGTCTCATTATTTAGGATGTGAAAACTCCAAAGGCCAGTAACATGTGTTTGTGCCTGTATGTTATAGATAGATAAACTCATCTCGTACTCCCTATGTTTACCACAATTTCTGGTTCAAAACCAGATGCTTAAGAATAAGAAAGAATAGGAAGAAGAGCAAAAAAGAAAGAAAAAGCAAGCAAGCAAGCGAGCAAGACTTTTCTATACTAACTACACACTGTTAGCATAAACTGTTCTTATCAACACCCATGATTGTTTCACTAAGGTCTTTATGAACTCTGTATTCAACTATTTTGTCAACATAGAAACATTAAGATTTAATGAAATTTGTTCTTCATATACTTTAGCTTCTCATGATTTTTGCATCTCTAGGAAAAAAGTCACGTGTTCATGATGATCAAACACAGCTGTTTGATTGGTGTTAAAATGGATCTGCCTGATAAGACCTGGAACTGAGAACCCAAACAGAGCCTTAAGGTAAGCTCCCAAGGGAAGTGCTGGCAGTAGATATTCAGAGGCATTTTGGACAGTTGGGCAATCAGAGTGAGACTGACCCACAAGCAGGCAAAACGTGTATGCATTAGCAGGGGTGTGGAAGAGGGCTAGGTTTTGACTGAGGGTTGGAGAGGACATGAGCTGGTTTTTGACTGATAACGACAAATGAGTGATTCAGGCAGATGGAACCTCCGTGAAATCTTCTGGAGAATCCAGCTGTAAGTAGTGAATACCCAGTCACAGCAACTGGCATTCAGAAGCAGTTGACAAGCCTCGGCAGCCTTGGCAGGAGGGACAAGTCAAAGTTCTAGGTGTCAGAATTGAGGCAGAGAATCAAGTAGAAAATTGGTACAGCAGGATGGAGACCCAGAGTATTAGGACAGAGCTGTGTGGCAGAGGTTCAGTCACTGTGGAGTAAACAAGAACTCATTGTGATCCTAGAAAGTAGCAGCAAGATTATGGTAGGGCTGGTAGGAGGGTGGCCTGATACTGAGACACTGAATGTGGCCTCTGTTCTCTCTTCAGATACAGGATTGGGAGCTATTGGGAAAGGCTTGAAGCTATAGCTTGTGAGAATGACCCTCGATGCTAGAGAGATAATGGACAATAAGTTAAACTTCATTTTAGTCAGGACCCTGGGTACTTACAGTGTCAAAAGCTTCTTCCACTAGTAAGAATCACTAGAAAATTACCAAGACATACCCAATGGTCTATTTATTTTGTGGATGCATTAAAAAATTCTTCAAATAGCCCCATTCTTACTGTGCTTTGACCCGTACACTCCCTATAATTCAGAAGAGTGAAGAAAGAAACAGTGGAGGAGAGAATGTACTTAAAAATACACAGTTAACCTTTTCCTCAAAGCCAAAGCCTAAAGGGAGAACAGCAGTGTAAAGAAAGTAGGAGGAGGGCCCAGGATGACTTCTAAGGGAAAAAGAAAGGCATCTTTTGTCCAAAACTAAAGCAAAATCATGGCGATGTGATGTTGCTTTTTGTCCATAACTAGGTCATAATAGACAAATGAATTTCTAATGATGAAGAACTCAGGATGGGATAGGATCAGGGAGGGGAAAAGCAAGCCTCCCTCAATGTGCACCACATTCATTTGGGACAAGGATGGTGTAGGTGTGCTGTCTGTCAGCTAGAATGTGCATGGGCTTGGGAAGAGATGAACAAGAACAGAGAATGACTCCCTGGGCCATGTTGGGCATTAGTAGACTAGGTCATTCATTTTGCCTTCTGGGATAGCATCTTTCTTTTTGATATCCAAGATAGCTTTGTGATGTGTCATCTTGGCTAGGTTAAACCACTTTCCCCAGAATTCCCATTCAAGTGTGTTTCTGAGTTTTCCAAATGTAATTAAAATGTAATTAAAATGACTGCTCAGCCAGAAATTCTCTGTAATAAGTAAATACACTCACACACATACACACATGTGCATACATGTACATGGATATATGTGTATATATGTCTGTATATTTTTATATATATATATATATATTTAAAATACATATATAAAGGCATCTTTTGTCCAAAACTAAAGCAAAGTCATGGTGATGTGATGTTGCTTTTTGTCTATAACCAGCTCATAATAGATAAATGCATTTCTAATGATGAAGAGCTCAGGATGGGATGGAATCGGGGGGCAGGGGAAAGCATGTATTTATATGTATTTTAAAATATATATATAAAAATATAAAATACACACAAAAATGTGCATACTGGTTCTGCCTCTCTGGTTGAATCCTGACTGATACAATACCTCATCTTTAGCATATTTTTGTATCTCATGTTAGAGTTTGCTAAGGACTTCTGCGTGTTTATTAAGTCCTAGATGACAAAACTGGGGCCCAGAAACAGTAAGTGACCTAACCAATGCCATGTAGCCAGTTGGTGATCTAATCAAGACCTCAATTAAAGCTCAAGTTCCCCAGCCTGACAACATTGCTTATAATGTTAATGTTAACATTTCTAGTGTTATGTATAAAAAAGTTTAATAACAATAAATATACAAGTTAAAAGTACAATAAAACTTTTTTGGGGGTATAGGAAAAGCACAATAAAACTTTTTGGTGGGTACAGAAAAAAATGTATTACAATTTGGATTGAAATCGTAACTTCTCTTTATATTCCTGAAAATTATATAGAACTCCATTTTGGGGAGAGGATTGAAGTTTGTGATTAATTCCAATATTTATACAGAAAAATTTTTTAAAACCCAGAGAATTTAGCAATGGGTTTACCATTTTATATTATGATGCCTCCAGGGCTGGGTGTAGAGTGGCTAGGGAGGGCTGGGTGAGGAGAGATCTTAAAGAAGTAACAGATGTAAAGACCCAATAATAAACTAATACACCTGTGCAATAAGCATTCTATATTCTCTCATGTATTACTCAGATATAACAGTTCTAATTTAATCAACAGAAGATATCATGTCCCATCCTTGCTGCTCTCTAGAAGTATTTAATATCTCAATCACTGAAAGTCAGTATTGAAAGGCTTTAGTCTCTATCTATTATCTATCTATCTATCTATCTATCATCTATCTATCTATCTATCTATCTATCATCTATCTATCTATCTATATCTATCTATCTATCCAATTTTTTCCCCTTGGGAACAACAATAGGTATAAAATCCTAGGATAGGGGAAAATTTTGGAAGTAGTGATAGTTTTTATTTTTTAACTTTTAAAAAATATTTTTATTGTTATATCATAGTTGTACACATTTTGGAAGTTCATGTGATATTTTAATACATGTGTACAATGTATGATGATCAAATCAGGGTAACTAGGATATCCATCACCTCCGACAAGAGTAATTACTAAATTATAGGGTAAACGGCTAAAAACAATGCACTTAGCCTTAAGCATCAACATCTAACTATTCATTGTTTTTTTGTTTTTGTTTTTGTTTTTTTTCTCTTTTGGCCTTCACACAAACTGAGAAAGCCACAGCCCATGTAGAATGGAAATATAGTATTTTAAACCTTTTTTCTTCTGAATACAAAACCCACCTCTTCGCTGGGAAATTGCATTCCCATCCCAATCAGTCTTAGTGAAAACCACTGATTCAGGGTAATTTCCCAGGACATAGTGGGTGTTGTGGGAGTGACAGCCCACATAGAGGGAAAAACTGACTTAAGGAGGGCCTAGGAGGGTCCTCCCTCAGGATATCCTATACAAGCTTGTGGGGCAGAGGGCCATGCCTTCCTGTGTGGTGAAGCTATGGAAGGGTTGATGGTGGTTTACATCCATGTCTTCCAGAGTATGGGAAAAGACTGTCTGCAGTAGGAGTGAATAAACCTAAGTTGTAGAGAGATGCAGGGGAACGGGCCCGCTGAGAGGGAAGCCTGGTACTTCCAATGGGTGGCTCCAGCTATCCCTGAAGCCCTGGTGCTCCGGGGGGTAGCTAACTTTTGGATTACTCTAAACTTCATTTTGATGAGCAACCAAAGAGACTGGGGAATAAGGATTGGTGAAGTGCTCTATTTCTAGAGGCTTGTATTCCAAGATGTGTGTGAGAGTTTTGTCTGCTGGGGGGCCAGGCTAGTACCTGAGAAGTCTGGTCTGAGCTTGCATCTCTGTGGCCTGTGGAGACTTAACATGGAAAGGGATCATCCTGGTAGTTTATCCTTACACAAAATGGATTGGCCTGGGAGTGAAAACTAATTGTACTTGTAAAGTTTCAATTGTCTTTTCTTAAATAAAGGGGGGGTGGGGGCACGGTGCAAAAATTGGGGAAAACCGTGAAAGGGAAAAGCATTTTGAAAAATTTTTAAATGCCCCTTATTATTTTGTAGTTGCAGGATTTTGGTTTAATTTGAATCAGTTAACTCTCAGAGGACATCTGTAGCATTTAGAAAAGGATGGCTAATTTGCAGCAGATACGAGCTTTTGTGCAAAGGCAGAAAGATGTACTGTAACATATGATGCAGATCACTTTAGAGTAATTGAACCATGGCTTTTGCATGCTTTCGATCTTAAGCTTATCTCTATCTGAAGCCTGTAGAAAGTCTTTTTCCATTTACATAACAGGGCAAGAGATTATTACTACTAAAATTAGATCCACGAATTGCTATGCATAGTGCTTTGTAGCATAATCAAATTATGATAAAATAGCCTTTATTTCTTTATAGCTATATAATATAGTTAGGTTCTTTCACAATTTGTTTAGAAGTAAATGGGTGGCAGTACTATCTTATTATATTAAAACATTGCTGATTTTTGGCCAAATTGACAACCTTGCTTGATTGTTTTTTAGAGATGCTTATTTGAAGAATGGGGAGGAGCCTGACAAAGGCTAATATGTTTTCCTTTCTTGCCACTCCTCCCCCCAGCCTTTTTTTTTTAAATGTGAGCCACTGCTCGTAAGTTCTTCCTGCACATCCTTATCACTTACTGTGATAATACGATCCTGAGAAAATGGTTCCTGTTCATTTGATGTGACCAGATAAAGTCAAAAGCCTTATGCCCTGGAGAATCCTTAACTGTTTTCTCCCAGATTCTGAACAGGGCAAATCACAAAAACCTTGTCATCAGTTAAATTATTCTTGTAAAGATGTAAACATGGTAGGGGAGGGAAAACAAACTCAGAGAATCAAGGAAAAAAATGTGGCAGTGGGGGAAGAGAAGAAAATGGAAATTAAGACTTGCAATGGAGGAAAAAACAGCAGAAAGGAGAGAACAGAAAAAATACGACAAGGATATGGCTATGAGGGAAATGAAGGCTAGAGAGAGGGCAAAATATAAAACCAAGGGAAGCTTAAAACATGGTAAGAGCAGATTCCATCCCGTTTAAAGGCTCTGAAAGTTTCTTGATGGCTCTATTGAGCAGAACCCCCCACCCCCATCCCATTCTATATTATTGTTAATGCTAAAGGTAGCTGTAGCTGCAGAGGTGGCATTTCTTCTAATTTAATTTTCAGTTACTGAACTCAGTTACTGACTCTTTAGAGCCGGAGGGAGGATGAGCCTTTGTTAAAGCTGCAGCCGTTAACTTTCACTTTTCTTTTCAACCTCATTAGATTTCCTGAGGTTTAGTTCTAGACTTAAAGCACTGCACTGTGGCTAAACTATGTAAAATAACATTTTTGGTGAAAAGCAACACCTGCAAAAATGTCACACAAATTTCAACTTTAGTTGTACCCAGTGATGTCACCAAATGAAGTGCTAGTGCAGACGACACAAGTAATAGGGTATTAAATTTGTCACGGGCTTCATGGAAGCCACAGCCTGTGACTCCTTCATGGCATCCTGCAGTGCAATGATGAACCAGAAAAACTCCTTGTCTGGTGGCACCTTTATATTTGTGTTCAATGAGTAGCACACCCATGCAGACATAAGCCTCATTGAAGCAGGATTTAGAAGAGGCTGCTTCCCTGGTTTAGTCCACACAGGGCATCAAAATTCTGATTTAATTGGTATGGGTAACCTGTTTCCCATGTGTAGGGAGATTCTTGAACTCAGAATATTACAAAAATGACATTTTCTTGATTTCTTGAGAATGACTAAAGGCTGGAATGAGAACTACAGATGATTGACTCTGAACAATCAGGTACAATGATCTACAAAGTTTATACAATGCATGTGGTGATCAGTCTCTGCTGTCATGTCTTTCGGAGAAACATCTCTATGCTGGCCCAATCTGTGGATCCTGGGGTGGTGACCTCGTCCCAAATGGTCAGGGACAACCAGGGAGGCTTTACTGCCTCAGGACTCACTTTGCTGCTCAGAGAGTCTCTGTGCCTCTGGTCTCTATGACAAGCTGTTTTCTCTCCTCTGTTGTTGCATTCTGTTCTTTATGTGACATAGAAAGACATTTTAAAGCCACCTAAGTGGGACAAGTCCCTCCTGTGAAGGGTGGAAATCTAATTGGATCCACCGTCTCTTTGGTGCCTTGGCAGTGCCTATGCAACACCTTTAAATCTCCTGTAAGCAACGGTAACTTGGACGTACTGTGTAACCACTTCTTGTCCAATATCATGTACGTTTGCTTTTCTTGACATACTAGCTGTGTAAAAGTCACTCTAAAGGATACATAATGATATAGGAATTACTAAAGAAAAAGTTGGCTGGGTGGGTGGCTAAAATATTTTATATTTTATTATTCTCCATTAAAAAGGTAGTGAAATAAAATCAGATTTATTTGATAGAAATATGTACCAGATTTCATTTGGGCTTGTTCTAGAGGAGTATTTTCCACAAGATTTTTATTATTTTTTTTAAATTTTTTTAAATTTTAAGTACAATAGGAAATATATTTAAATCATGACCCATTTATTACAATGTACACAATTCTTACTAAGAAACCATGCGATGTGTTCTGATTGTTTCTATTCTATTTGTTTCATTTAAAAATGCTTGTCACATCCTACTACATTTCCTTCATTACCCGTGAATGGGGAGTGACACACAGTTTGTAAACTACTTTTCTATAATTTTGAGCACAATACGCACAAAGGATAAAAAAATTTCAGGCAGTAGAAATTAAGTAGTAGACACATGAGTCTAAATTCTAAACACGCAGTAGGTGTTTTGTTCTTGTTATTTTAAATATTGGATTTAATTGCAGATTATTTTTTGAAGATTTTGGTGGTAACTAAGCCCTTGTTACCCTGAATTCATTACAATGTTTCAAACCAGTTTTTAAGCACAGCATTAAGGCTCTTTGTGGCTACTATCTTATATAATCTTTAATATAACACTATGAGATAAAAGGCTTATTGGATGAAGAAACTGAGGCTAAGACTGAAGGCAATTTGCTCCAGGTTGAGATACAATTAGTAAGTAGTCAAGCCAATGTTCTCCCAAGTGCTGTGACTTTTCTGCCCACTGCCAGGCCCTTAGCTAGAGAGGGGCCAATCAGAATCACCCAAGAAGCTATTTCCACCCACACAGTCTCTCTTCCTATCCCTCCAAACTCCATCACACTTGGCTGCTGCTTAGACTAACGGAAAAGGAAAAAGTGGTTGGTTTTTCTTCAGCACTGTAAATAGACTTGATCTCTACACCTCCCCAGCGTGACATTTTTATATTATAGTATAACTTGGTTATAATATAATTTGATTTATATAATTTACCTCTAATGACTCACAACATATCATAAGTAGATTGAAAAGTACACCAATTCTTCATGGAAATTTTTAAAAAATTAAATATAGGCACAATTTGTTACTCTTTCTGAAGACAAAGTGATAACTTAGAGGTATTACTGCTTCTAATAAAGAAGCCATCTATCAGCTAACCAAAGCGTTCTTTTGAAAATACAACAGCCAAGAGAGGGACACCTCCTTCTTACTCCCCAGCTTTCTCCATGACCCAGTTGTTGGACTGAAGCTGTTGTTTATTGTAAGTAGTCTCAGGTCAAAGAAGCTGGACCCGAGATAAGGTATATATAGTACTAAATTAATTGGTTACAAGCTCCCAGAAATAAAGAATAGCATTGAAAATATAGCCACTAAGTTACCAATTTTAAATATTTATGTTTAATTATTTAAAGAAAAAAAAGTATATTTCTCTGCCTCAGCTTCCTTCACTTGATTCAGTAGAAGCCCTTGTAGTCCATATGCCTGGCACAGTAGGTTGGTGTGGTGAACACCACTGCTGCTCCTTGGTTTTTCTAGCTCTTCTCCTTTTCTGGCACCCGGGAGGATTACGCTTCTCTACCTCCTTGAATTTAGGGTTAGTCATGTGGCTTGCTTTGGGTAATGTGCAGAAGTGAAGTGCATCAATCTTAGGGGGCATTAACATGCCTACGTGGGATTCTTCATGTTTTCTCTTTCCTTTCCATATTGACCCAGGATGACACATGCTTCATACAGTAAGTGCTTCAGATGCTACCCATGGAGGATAGGTTTCAGAGCCTGCAGATTTAAGGTGAGCAAGCAATAAAGATTTGTCGTATCGTTCACTGAGATTTGGGGGTTGTTTGCTACCACAGCATAATCAAGCCATGCTATTATAGCTGGTAAATCAAAAGAGCTGGTTAAAGCAAAGAATCTTAAACAATAATTAAATGTTCTTTTTAATTTTAATTGTAATTTAAAATTCTTTTTAATTTTTAATAAAAATGTATATAAAATGACCAATATTTTTGTTGTTGTTAGCCAGGACTTTTCTTCAATGATGAGTGTGCTGACTGGATTTCCATATTGTCTTTCATGCAATACCAAATAGATCATGCTTTGTGCAGGGTTTTTCCATGCAGCAAGAATGCAAAGGCATGGGTGAAACCATATGACTGCAGACTCTTCTGGCTTCTTAACATTGCCCTTTGCAAATATTTCACTTTCATCTCTCTTAGCAAACCTTTTTCAAGAGACTTACCTTTATTAAGTCTTTCCAAAATACTCTTTTTCATTTCCATACAAGCACCTTTCATTCTTGTCACACTCATATTTTACTAATGTGTGGTATTTAATTAAATAATTGTATAATTCAAATAACAAGCACAAATGGCAGAAAAAATTTAAGAATAAACATAAGTGATTATTACAAGCATGTAATTCATCAAGTTAAAGCACAAGACTAGAGAATTCTAGAGAATAGCCTACTCATCATGAGTTTTGAGACTTTTAGACAAGGCCTAGAGAATCAGTATATTGGACACAAATCATGTGTATCTTCTCAGATCCCCTAGTTGACATTTCTTCTTCTCTTTCTCAGGTGGTATTTACTTGTACCAAGTCACCCTTCCACTTTAGATATGAATAAAATGCCATGTTGCGAGCATGGGATTTGGCCTCCTGAGTGGTTACCAGGGGACCTAAGAGTCCATTGGCAGTGCTGGGGAGATGTCCCCTTGTGTGATGAATCATGACCAATAGGAAATGAGAGATGGGAGGCCTCTCACAGGTGAATCTCTCCTTTCTTCATTCCATGGACAGCAATAAGGTAAGCTTCTCCTTATAACCTTTTTAGGAAGAAGTCCCTTTGTGCTGAGTTAAGTCTGCCGGTGTACTGTTGTCAACTCTTTTGAACTCTGTGTGAAGTGGTGACCATCATGATAATGATTTGCATTACTCCATGTCTTTTATTGCCTCACTTCTCTCTTTCTCTTCATCTTTATTACCCTGGGCTTATATGTCCATAGTGTCATCACTTTAATCCCTGCCTCAGGCTCTGTCTTCTAGAGGAACCATACAAAGACAGTCAGTTAATCTGATGAGTCAGTTAAAGAGGTTGATTTAAAAAGCTTCTATGGAATAGCATTAGTGCTAGGCAAGGAGACAGTAGGAGCCCAGAGAAGTGGTGGAATATCTAGAGTCATTCACAGTCTGTTGGACTTATTCAGGGAATACAACATATATTGAGATATCTAAAATTAATGAGTCCTAAAGGACAAAAATAGATCATTGGAGGAAACAAGGTTTTCAGTCTGGTAGGAAAGCTTAGGCATGATGAAGGAATAATAATACTATTAATAAAAATCATAACTAATATTTATGGATTCTTACTAAGTTCCAGCTACTATATTAAGTACTTTCGAAAACTTAATTAGATGAGATACAGTCAATTTTACTAATTTTTTATGGAGAAATTGTGGCTTAGGAAACTTAAGAGGTTTTCACATAGTCACTCATCTAAGAAATAGTGGAG
The DNA here is from genome assembly GCF_000001405.40 of Homo sapiens. Taxonomy (NCBI): domain Eukaryota; kingdom Metazoa; phylum Chordata; class Mammalia; order Primates; family Hominidae; genus Homo; species Homo sapiens. The sequence goes on along the minus strand of NC_000005.10, from coordinate 88,497,967 downwards.
CACAAATTCAAACCCAGGGTTTGACTCTTAACCACAGGCTTAAGCAAATATGGGAAAATATTTAAATGGAGCATGAGGCACATTATAGAAGTAGAGAGCAGTCCAGAAAACTGGGAACAATATCTCAGACTCCAAACAGGAGGACCACTTCATAAAACAGGACGGCCTGGGTATGAGTGCTGATGCAGGGTCAGAGGCTCTCTGAACAACTGTTCAGAACTTAAGCAGCCTCCCGGTACAGTAAATCAGATCTAGCTAGAATAGGCTCACTCTTTTTAGAAGAGACTGCTTCTACTTTTTATAGTAATTGTTGCAAATGACTAGATCTTTCAAATTTATTATTTCATTTATCCCATTATTCAACAAATATTTAAGATTTTCTCTGAGCCATGCAAAATTATTGGCACTGTGGATATACAGATAATTAAGGTACAGTCCAAACCTTAAGGAATTCACAGGCTGATAGAGAGGACAGCCAAGTACTCAAAAATGTATAAAGGAATAGCAGTAACATGGGAGTATGGGGAGCACAGAGGAGGGTACTGACCCCTGTCTGAAGTTAGAGGAATGGGGAGACTTCCCAGAGACAGTGAAGAAATTGATTCCTGAGAATGGGACATATTTTTCCCGGGAGACAAAGGGAAAGGAAGAACTCTCTAGGCAGAAGAAACAGCACTGGGAAAGAAATGGAATCATGAGCAAGTATACTGCATTCCAGAAACATGTGACAGCATGGTAGATTTGGAGTATAGGCAGAGTGGCCATGCAATTCACTAACAAAGTCAGAACGATAGTTTTGAGAGTGAAAGGGGTGCTTTTCCTCACTATTTTGGGACAATACAAATAAAAAGGAACTGTCCCAGGTAAACCAGGATGTTTGATCACTCCAAGTAAGGAGACTACAGGATGGAAAGGGTGTTGGAATTACTTAGACTTGAGTCTGAATCCAGGTGTGGATGATCAGAAGCAGTGTCTGTGTTCAGTCATCTTTGTAGCTGATTATGCCTCAGTGTCCTCCTTTGAATCAAAATGAATTGCTTGAAATTAATAATTTCTTCCTTGTAGATTTGTGTGATGACAAAATGAGATAACAGAAATAATACAATTGACACAATGCCAGCCTGTAGTATGTGCTCAACAAATATTGTTTCTCTGTGTGTACTCTTCCCACCATAGGCCAGAAATGGGAGACGAGGTTGGAGGATTAAGCCGGTGGGATTACCAACAGATTGCAAAGATCATGACAAGGAGTTTGAATTTTGACCTGAAAAAAAATAATTAGGCAGATAAATTTCCTAATCATGTTTGTGCTTTAGAAATATGAGTCTGGGCCAGGCATCGTGGTTCATGCCTGTAATCCCCGCACTTTGGGAGGTGGAGGCAGGAGGATTGCTTGAGACAAGGAGTTCGAGAAATATAAATCTGGCATAGAAAGACAAATACCGCATATTCTCACATATCAAGAGGAGCTAAATAATGTGTACACACGGGCATAGAGTGTGGAATGATAGACAGTGGAGGCTTGCATCAGGGAGCGGGTGGAGAAGGGTGGGTGATGAGAAATTACTTAATGCATATAATGAACATCAATTGGGTGATGGGTACTCGAAAAACCCTGACTTCACCACTATGCAATCTATGCATGTAACAAAATTGCGCTTGTACCCCATGAGTTTATACACACAAAAAAGAAATATGAATCGGGCGGCAATGTTTAAGATGTTTATCAGGGCTATGAGATATATCCAGGAGCTCCTGGTAACCTCTGGCACCATAAAGCCATGAGATCTTATGTGACTCTAATTTTAAAAGAATATGAATTTAATATTGTTGTTGAAACTCATCCTTTGCTGATTTTGGAAAATGGGAGTGGAAGAAGATATTACTGTGTTAAGGAGTCGGGCTGAGTCAGAGATGGTGATTTAGAGCAGGAAGTTCTGACAACTCCCTAAATCTGATTCCTGAAGTATGGTCCCAGACCGGCAGCATCAGCAGCATCTGGGAATCTGAACTTGATAGAAATGCAAATTCTTGGCTGTATGTAGACCTACTGAATCAGAAACTCTGGGGGTGGAGGTCCAACAATCTATTTTTACTAGACTTCCAGGCAATTCTGATACATACTATTGTTTGATAACTGCTGTCCTGATTCAAAGTACAGTGCAGAGGTAAAAATTAAATGGGAAATCAAGGTTAGTAAATCAGAGAATAGTGATGAATATGTCACCAAACTGAAGAAGAAATTGAAGTAAACATTAAAGCCAAAGGAATTTGGGGCTCCTGGAGATAAGAGGAAGGAGCCTCTGATTGAGAAAATAAGCAGTTGATATGATACAGCCTTTGAAAAACACCTGAAATAGGTACTGCAGCCTATATTAGTTTCCTAGGGCTGCTGTAACCAAGTACCACAAAGCAGATTGCTTAAAACAACAGAAATTTTGCTGGGCACCACCCTCACACCTGTGATCCCAGCACTTTGGAGGCCGAGGTGGGCTGATTGCTTAAGCTCGGGAGTTCAAGACCAGCCTGGGCAACATAGGGAAACCCCATCTCTACCAGAAAAATACAAAAATTAGCTGGGCATGATGGCAAATGCCTCTAGCTACTTGGGAGGCTGAGGCAGGAGGATCACCTGAGCCTGGGAGGTTGAGGCTGCAGTGAGCGGAGATTGTGCCACTGCACTCCAGGCTGGGCAACTGCACTCCAGTCTGGGCAAGCTGTCTCAAAACAAAAGCAAAAACAACCACAATTTATTCTCTCATAGTTCTGGCAGCTCCAAGTCTGAAATCAAGGTGTCAGCAGGGCTATGATCCTTCTGAGCCTCCAGATAAACTTCTTCCTGGTCTTTTCGTAGCTTCTGGTGGTGGTCTTCCATTCCTTGGCGTTCCTTGGCTTGCAGCTGCAACATTCCAAGCTCTGCCTCTATCAGAGCTTGGCCTTCTTTCTGTGTCTCTCACTCCATGTCCTTTCTCTGTGTTCTTCTTATAAGGACACCAGTCATATTGGATTAATGCCCACTCCAATGACTTTACCTTAAGTAATGACATCTGCAACAACTCTATTTCCAAATAAGGTCACACTTTGAGGTATTGGGGATGACGGTGGGGTTAGGACTTCAATATATTTTGCGGCCAGAGAGGGGGACATAAATCAACCCATAATGTAGCCCATCATCAGCTCTTATAAAACTGGCACTGTATAATTTGGGTTCCCTTAGAAATAGACCCTGAAATAGAGATTCATGTTTAATTCCACTCCCTAGGGGAGTGGGAAAGTAGGGCAGGGAGGGGAAAGCATACAATAAAATTACTGATTATACTTATTTAGAGTTTTTCAAGGGACTTCATTTTCCTAGGTTTCTGAGAATTAGAAAAAAAAATTGAGATAGCTCCCTGATGTCACAGAAGGGCAAACCTGGACAGAGAAAAATCTAACCTGCCCATGGCCATTTAATAAGATAGGGAAAAATTTAGAAAACATTTCCTGCCTCAGCCTCTACTCTGGTCCTTCAGCTACTCAACTGTGTCTGACTTGTCTGGAACACTAAGTAAGCAGAATTGTTACATGGTGCTCTTTCTAAAGAGGCATGATGGATTTCTTATTAATATTTCTTTTTAAGGTGGACACCATGCATTTATATATAGGTAAAGTTTAACACCATTTTTATCATATAAAAAAGGCTCAGAGATTTTTCTTGCTTAAGATTATGCATCAAGTTTTTGAGAGAATCTGGATTATAATCCAAATTTTTTTTTCTGTTTTGTATGCATTACTTCTTTTCACATAAACACAAAGATTTTTTGGTTACTTAGGAGCTATGTATACAATGTGATCCAGTCATCAAAATTGCTGCAATAAAATATATTTTACTGAAGATAGAGGCACCCCACCTAATCTGACCTTCCCATATTTAAACTGCGTGACAAGAAATTTGGCATAGTTAAGAAAGAAGTATTTTCTCCTTTATGGATTGTGTCCTGTAACTCAAAGATTTTATATACAGTATACATGTCCAGTGATGTTTGTTTTGATATCTAATGTAGTGATACAAAATCCAGTATAATTAACCACTGTAACTTTGGATGATAAGCTAACTGAAGTTAAATGTGAAAAAGTTTAGCCTACAAAGAATAATTTTTAACATCGGAATATGTAGCTGGTCCTGTGTGGTCAGGGGTGGAAAGAGAATCCAATTATTACTTTCCCAACATGGTATTTAGTGGGGAATCAAACTTCATGGGCCCATAATTTATAACAGTCTCATGCCAAAAAAAATTATTGACAGTATACTTGTGAGAGTTGTAATCCTACACAAAAATTTTTAGTGGAGTTATGAAATGTATGTGAATTTTATATTTTCTTTTGGCCGTGATTAAAGTTATAAGGAGGATTTTGTACTAATTATTTCTTTGTATACCTAAAGACTTGGTTTCAAATCCTGTCTCCCACTTATTGTAGTATGATTGGACAATTTATTTAATTGTCCTCTGTTTTGTCAGCTGTAAAGCATTTCAAACTTTTATTCCCATCTGCTAACGCAATGCCTGCCATATATTAAGTGTAATTAAAGAGTCTCATTCTAAATAAAACGACTTTAAAGGATTATCATTAGGATAACTGACAAAGCTTGACACCTAAAGTAGACACTCAATAAAAAATATTTTCATTCCCACTCATGGTGTGTGCTATTTGTATGTATCATGATACATGTTGGAAGAAGTATTTTTTAAAAACCCTCAATTTAGACTATGGACACTTTATTCAAACTCTGACAACTTCAGTTGTTTCTTCTCTAAAATAAAAAAAAGAACTACCCTTCAGTGTTGAGAATCAAATGTGTTAATGAATGCATGAGGTTCTTTGATTTTACTTTTTAATCTCTAAAATGGGAATTTTATTCATTACATATCTTAAAATGTTATGAAGGCCAATTTAGGAATGCATCTGAAAAAAATTTTTTAAAATCTGGTTAAGTATTGTACAAATATTAATTTTTGTTATGAAGAGTTCTAGAAACATTAGATTTATTTCTGATCAGTAAACATTTATTCTCTAAACATATAAAGTGTTTGCTGCACTCTCAAACTTAATCAAATCATTACATTGTTGAATATTATCAATCATGACCCTGTATTTAAAAAAAACTAATTTGTGAATATTTAAATTTCTAGGAAAACAAACATATCTGCTAATGATTATTACTATCACAATTCTTTACATTTCAAAAGTGTTTTGTTACAAGCTTCTTTTAATCAGTAAGATCTACTTTATGTTAAATATGTGATTTGATTAGTAAAGTTCCATTTTACATTGCCTTTTACAATCTCACTGTGTAAAATGTTTTTCTGTAATTAAAATGAACAAATTAGAAATATTGATTAATCCTTTGGATGAAGCCACCTGTAATCTCAATTACAAGGTCCCTGCCCCGAGGAAGCTTAGGTATGAAGTAAGATAGAAGACAGGCAAGACTGACATTGTCAATAAAATATCAATGGAGAAATTGATATTCAAGTGAGATACTGAAGGCAAAGAGGATGGGAAATAAGAGGGCAGTGGCCTGTGTAAAGGAGAGCTGGGAATGGCCGGCATTTTCAGAGAAAAATGGATATTGTGAGGTATAGTCAGGCACTGGTGATGAGAAGAAACAGGAAACATGTTGCTTGTGGCAATCATTGTTTTCCAGACTAAGGAGAGAGTGGACAGACGTTGAGTGTTTTTAGCAAAAGAATTATCAACTTAGAAGTTCTGGGAGATTAACTTGTCAGTGGAGTTCACAGTTGAATGGAGTGGAGAGACAGGAAAACTTCTAGAATACCTGTAGTTTGAGTATGACTTGTTAAGGGCCTAGAATGAATATAATGACAGCAATAGATAAAAGGTTAGGAAATGAGTTATTTAAAAAAATAAAAACTAATTGTACTTGCCAACTGATCCAAATGGAATACAGGGAAGTCAGAAAAAAAGATTTTTTTTTTTTTTCCAGAGGGAAAAGTAGGGGCATTGTGGTTGGTAAGGTGAACACAGGTATAGAAATGTTGGGTTAATCTGATTAGGTCAGTTTTGTAGCAGACTAGGGCTGGAGTCTTGAAAGTGGACTAGTTCTGTGAAGGAGAAAGTGTGGGCAGGTATTGCTAACCCTGGTCTCAGATACAGAACTCAGTAAGGTAGAATGAGTATGCCGTAAATCTCCCATTTCTATTGTATCCCTATTCTACTGAAGGCTTTCTCTAAGAGGCTCTTTGTTTCAAATTATCAGGTAAACTTTCTAGTTATGAAAGTTGTTTCAGCCTTCACACTGTCAACCATCACACTTATATCCTGTTAAATTGAATACCAAGAAAAGTTGTAGATTTTTGCATTCATTGTAATGGAATGTTCTTTGCAAAGCTTTAGCTATGGCCACTTAAATGTCAGCATTGTTAACAATGCTGTCTCTAAATTAGATACCTACAGGAAAGCTCTTTTAGTTGGAAGACCTTGCATGTTATAATGCTTCTTATATTTGAATGTATTATTAATAAGAAGTCACTTACAAAGTATATGTGCTTCCAGCTTCAGAAAGACATTTCCACTGTTCTAATCAGTGGGTTTAAATTCAGTTTTAAAAACTTTATGATTAGTTAGGAAAATCAACCCACATCAAAAAAGAATTTTAGGATTTTAGGCATTTAAAATATCTTTTACCAATCTTAGAATTGATTTTAATAAAAACACAACTTGAGACAATTATCTCTATTCACAACATTCAGCTGTTTCCAGCTACTTTGTCAGTTTGGTAAGGCATCAGGATTTCTTCTTATCCCCCCAAGAATGGAGCTCTGGGTTTGTAGCGTTTTCCCTGCTGTGATCCTGTTGTGTCCCTCTCTCATGACCGTATACTTTAGAAAGTTATGTGTGAAGAACTTGGGGCTGTGTGTTTGCGGGAGAGTGTGGACTCCTTTCTTCCTTCTGCTTTAAACAAATCACTCACATATCTAGCTTCCATGGTTTTCTCCATTAGTCTTCCTCATTTTCTTTTAGTGCTTCCTCTGGTGCAGATTCTTACGTCACTAAGAAAAGTATCTCCTATCAGTGGAAGTATTCCTGTTTCAGATATCCATAAAAAATTTGGCACTTTTTCTGAGTCTAGCTATAGAATTTCTTTAAAATAATAATGAAAAAATACCTCTACTTTTTTTTTTTTTTTTTTTTTGCCACTGAGCTAGAAGAAAGGTCTAAGGGAAATTTATTTGTGCTTTCAAAGTCACATGGTTCTTTAAAATTATGAGCCTTTAAAGTTACAAGCCTCCTTCAATAGCAGGAAGTTCACATTTACAGTTGCTAGTATTATTGTTATTCCAATACCAGTATTATAATAAACATTTGCATATCTAAAACCTAATATATTTCCATTGTTCAGGCATTAGTCAAAATAGGATTTCTTACCAACACTCACACAAATATGCACACCAAGTAGCAACTAATACAAGTTTTAGGAACTCAGTAGGGATTTATTTTCTTAATAAAAATAATAAATCGTTGCCAATATTCTTCCTTTTTACATACATACTGAATTTTTTCCTTTTTGAAGACTTTAAAATATGTCATTGAAACAGAATCTCTAGTTATTTAAAGTTTATATATAACAAAAAATACAGTCTAGAATTATACTAAGCATAAAATATAATACAAGCACTCAAGTTATGAGATATACATTAAAGGGGTATATATGCATGTACACAAGATGTGTAGCTACATATATATAGATAGGTAGATGGTTATAGACATATATGCATGCATATGTATACATATATACCTATACGTGTATATATTTACCTATCTATATATCTAGCTTCATATCTTTTTCTACATATCTATATGTACATATACATGTATATTTGTCTATATAATTGTAACTATAACTATATATGTACAAACACATTATGTTTAATTTATCAGCACTGAATTTAATCCTCCAGCCTTTCCAATGTTTAGGCAGCAACACATTTTAAAGATTAGTTAATTATGATTTTCTTAATATGAAAATGGAAAATTCTGCTAAAGTTTAAATTTAGAAAGAGTTACATCTAGAGTCTTCATTATGGTAAAATGCTAATTGCAAAATAACAACTAAATATTCTATTCTGTCATGTTTCACATTGCCTTAAGAGTGTGTGTGCCAAGTGTGGTATAAGCTGGTATAAGTTTGTATATGCTGATAAAGAAGTGCCATTCATTAGTCGGTAGCTTGTCCATTTGCTAATGTAAAGCATTTGTTCAGTTGCAAATCTCTCTTTCCTGAAGGCAAAGGACATGCTAGTGGCCTGGCAAGGTGGAATTCCTGCAGCAGCAGCAGCAGCAGCAGCAGCGGCAGCAGAGCCCAGCGTCAGAGAGACCCTCTTTGTAGATAAGGCCCCGCCCTTTCTTCCTTTAGACAATCTTTGAACCTCATCCAAAAATGAGAACAATTGAAAAATGTTGTCCTAAATAATTATTTTTAATGACAATATTTGTAAAATGTCTTCAATCTAAAGATGATTTATAAAGTGTATGTATCTACATTCTGTGTCCTCATCAAGCGTTCTCACTCGCTGTTTGCTCTGGCTCACTATTCATTAGCTGAGTTTCAACAATGAAGAAAGAAGGATTGATTAGTCTGTCACTGTACTTTGGGGCAGCCAGCCCCCCAAAACATTGCTAAACTTAGTTTACAATTAAATCTACAGGATGCTTTTGCAAAAGTACATACTTTATCATTTGAGATTTCTCACATGTGAAAACATGTGAGATCCAGAGCGCAAGACCACTCTAATGATTTAAGTCTTTTATTTTCACTTTAACTTGAAAACCTTTGCAGGAATTTTTGCTAGCCGCATAAAGTTTACAACTTTGCAACACAATTCTACAGACTGTTTTCCCCTCAATCTATAATAATTACTGTTATTTTCTAGCTATTGTAAATTGAGCACAGCATCATTCATTCAGGAAAGCTCTCCTGGCTTGCGTCATTTTAGCCACATTGTTCTCTGTGGCAGGTAAGACTAATCCTGTAGCATTTTAACTTCAAACTTAAAAGAAGAAAGCAGCACAGCCAAGACACAACTGAGTATAGTTCATCTAACTAAAGAGGCCCTGTTGCCTTTACTATAATGCAGTCACGATGCTCTGCCTTATGTTCCTAGGCTTTTCTTCTATTTGAGACAACTTCTACTTTCACACATTAACACCCTATGCCAAAATCCAGCCTGTGACTGCCTCGTCTGAGAGAATTGTGGGCAAAGTTCTAATTATTGCTTAGTTAGGTGCCTGCTCCATTTGACATACATGAGTCACTTTTGTTCTTTTCTTTTTTGTTGTCACAAGGCTCCTATTCCTTTAGATTTCTTTTTTATTTGTAAAGGGGGAAGTCTCTCCAGGCTTTTCCCACAGTGTCCTCCATCCAATAGGTTACAAAGGTACTAACATGCTAAATAGAAATGGTACCCTTGGGAAAAAATCCATTTCTTCTGAGGTTGTCCCTGTTCCGGTGAATGAAGACTTCTTTGAGGTTACAAATATGTTTAGCAACATCTCCATACAACTGATTACAGGTTGCTTCATTCAGACTCCAAGGAGAAAGCCCTCCTATCCTGGATAGGCATGAGGTGATGAATACACTCTTGGAACAAGGAAGCTTTATTTAAAAGACTCTTTGTGCTCTTCTGAGTACCCTAATGAGCTATCCAGGGTGGTGCATCATTGTGGGAGCAATCAGACAAGTCCTGTATCCTCTTTTCATTAATCCTGCTCTCTTTTGTAGCCGTGCTTGTTGTTGACTCACAGTACCCATCATTCCTTTGACTAAATAGTAGAAAAAACATGACTTTCATGTTATGGCCCACATCACCAAAACCATCAGTTTTTATATATGGCGAAGAGCAGCACAGGAACCCGATCTCTTGCCTCTATGCCTACGAGAGGTCTGGATTTTGCTTCTTCAAACATGGTTGCAGAAAATACCAACCTGAAAGCTTGAGGGGAATGCATGTTTGCTAAGTTCACTGTGTTTAATAAACCTCAAACCACTTGGAATCTAAATTGATTCCATTTAGATGCAGGCAGTCAGGCTGCATCTACACAAATGAAGTGAATATGTAGGAGCTTTATCCAGATAACTTGGGGCCCCTGTATATTTGGTGCTTTCAAGATTCAAATAATGCTTCAATTCTTTGTTTCATGTAACATGTAGACTCAGTCTTAATGGTAATGTTTTCTTATCTTAATATTCAGAGACTAAAATTCACACTGCATTTCATTTGTTTGAGACATAATTTATAATTAAACATTCACAATTTCATCATATTTTAGTAATATAGAGCCTGTGGAGAAATAGAATTCAAAATTAAATCGATTTCTAGATAAAGGTGAAATAAGTTCCTTGCTTAAAATATGCGATACTTTAGGTCTAAGGTAAGGTTTTTCCATATGATTTATTTTGATCATTGCCTTGAGTCTCCATTTTCCTTTGTATGTTTAATAATAGCCTAAACTATATATTGACACCATACTCAGAAACACTGTGACCTCTGCGAAAACCCAAGACAACATGAGTATGTAAAATTTATTTTTGTGGTCATTTACACCAAAATATCATGAAACACCTCATGGTTGATTTGATTATAAGAAAAAGAAGTGAGCGTGTCACACTATCCCATTCAGCTGGTAGCCGCAGACAGATGTAGGCAATTCAAAGCAGAGAGTGCATCCTCAGTTCTTGAACATAATTTTACTGGTGGAATTGAGAAACTCAGTGACTGTGTGGCACTTAACCATCCCTTCAAATCTTGCTCACACTGTCTATGGAATACTTTTCCCTTTAAATAACAGGCCGAAAACTTTTGGCACAGAGTATAAATGAATTAGAAAAGTTGTGTATAAGTAACTCAAAAACTCAAAACACTAATAATTCTCATACTTCTTGAAAAAGAAAACTACAATTCTTACCTGAAAATTAGTCAGTCAATGTACATTTCAGGATGTTTCATAATATACACCTAAAACCTGTACCTTTTGAGGCAAGAAGACAAAAGCCTTGTTTCTAATCCTTGTTTCCTCCAGCCCATTCGCAGCCCCTCGGCATTCTGGCACTCTATTGTATTTATTTTTAATTGAAACCTCAGTTATAATTAAACATTTGTGAGTGAAGGTAGAATGCCACTGCTTTAACCCAGATAAGTGTGCCTGGAGTTCATGGGCATGAGTGTATGACGAAAGATCAAATATCATGTGCAGCTGACATGTTCTGAACAGGTCCTGTATATCCATGTATAACTGTCTGTCCACAGTATAAAATTTGAGTTAGTGATTTAAACCTCTGTACTTAGAAAGTTCCCAGAGCAAATGAAAATGGTGTTCGAGGGTAAAGTGATAGAAGCAATATCAAAATAGTCAGTGAAAATAAACTCCCTGTGTGTATTCCTACGATTGTGCCCAAGGTGCTAATTACACTAAGGACAGGAATTAAAAGGGGAAAGACAAAGACCCAGAGCTCTGAGTGAGGCCTAATTGTATTTACACAGATAAAGAGACTAGATGGGGGAAGAAAAGAAACAACGGGCAAAAGTTCTCCATTTAGTCTTTATAATTAGTTAAGAAACATTTAAATTAATAACACATTCTGAGTAATGCAGCATGTGTGGCATATAGCACATTTTAAATTAATTCTTGAAATAGCTACTGGTGTCCTACTTTATTTCAATTTTGATAAATTAGCTTACAGTCACTTTTTGATGGGTGTCCCATAAAGTAAAAATTAGTATTTCATCTGCCATTAACTACTCTTCCTGTAGAAAAAAAAATAACATATATAAAAGGCAGAATTTAAAATAGATATTTGAAGTTGATCCTATTAATTTGTATTTTTAACAATGGCGTTAGAGAGGAAGAAAGGGTAATAAGTTTTATGAGCTTATTTGTGTAGCCTTATAGTAGAAAAATCTCTTGATTGTCCATGTTTAATATAAAACTGGTCACTTGCATTTACTATTCCTCATTGATATGATACAATAATCTTCTCTGGTATTTTGGAGCTCAGAGAAAAGGCCTCAGATTATAAGACTGCTTCAAAATAGCTAGCTTTTGTCCTAGAATTATGTAAAAATTTACAATCTGCTGATTACACTATTAGGGAGCTGCAGCCTCATTGACCTAATGTCATAGTTACCTTTGGAATCCTTAATGTCTTAAGGCATGATCCAGGGTAGTGCTTCTAAAAATTCTCTAGTTTGATTTTGTCTGCATCTGAGTATATGGAAGTGCATGTGTGTATTTGTACTTAATTTTGGGCAATTGGAAAAAAACTTTTCTATGTGATCCTTCAGCCTAGCAACGAATCAAGCTACTTTTCTTCATGTTTACTTAATTATTTTGTATGCTCCCCATCCAAGCAAGCAATTCAAGTATATGTAACAATCAGAGGGGACCAAACATAAACCAAAAAATGGTCATATGTAAAGCTCAGACAAAAGATTTAGGCACAATAAGGTGAATGTAAGAAGTAGCTAGAAGAATCATTAGCTTAATTTCTAGGTATTCTAATTTTTGTCCCTAAAAGTATTGCAACTCAAGAACAGATAAGTGCATCTTGTTAAATTGAGGAGAAATAAATCAGAAATGTTTCTTTTGATTTATAACTGTCATCAGTGCATGCATGTTCATGGGTACATTATTTTAAAAATATTTCTTTAAGGACTGGTTAATTCTCTCTCATACTTCAGTCCCCTCCCCCACCCTCATCTTTGCATTAATTTGTCTACCCTAGCAATAAGTGTATGCTTTAATCATATATATTTAACCTACTCAGGGTTTCTAAAAGGACATATTTATGTCTTAGAAAACCAAAGTGATTTCACTTTGTTCTGACAGAACAACGTACATTTCATTCAAGTGTCTTTTTTTAGGTGATACTCTTAGCAAGGGATTTTATTTACTGAATGACATTTCTGCTAACCTGGAAGGGAAGATATCCATTCTTCAAATACTGTCATTACCAAGCTTTAAAAAGACTTGATTGTACCATGTTAGGGAAACAGTGTCAGATTTTCCATCAAACTTTCTCCCACTGTAATAACTGAGCATAAAAATGAACTTCGAGTGATGAAATGACTACAAAGCAAATTAATGCAATCAAGTCATTAGTAACAACTCTGTCCATATCTGTTAAATATTTTCAAACTATTCTAAAAAAACACACCCAGAAGGCAAACTAACAGTGAATAGAAACAAAATGGTCAGCAGCGTGTGTCGCATGTTATTTGAATGGAAAGTAATTTATCGCGTCTGAAATAAAAGCTGTTTATTCTTGTGTTTCACTGTCTGTAACAATCTTTACCATTTATCTGTGAAAAAGTGAGAAACTGTACCGTTATTAGCATATGAATACTTGACACATCAAATTGGCTGTACAATAACAGAAGGACATTTGCTATTGGTGTATGCACACAGACAAAGCAGCCATTTTGAAAAAAATTGAAATGGTGTGGGTGGTTTAACCCTTTACTTATCTTGTAGGTTTCCCACTCCTGATTTTGACCGGAACAGTTTGGCAGTTAGAATCAGAATATTTTTATAGCAAATAAAAGTAATCACGGGCCATTATGTTCATGATAATTACGTTGATACATTCACTCTACTAGAAAAATAGAAGCGGAATGACAATAAAAGAGTTTGTGTGAGTGTGTGTATGTGTGTGTACATGCATGTGCAGGGTGGGGGAAGGGAGTGGAGGCCGGCAGTGTGTGGAGGGTGCAGCAATGAAACAATGCCTACGTACAGTTTTATTTCATGGCAACAACATACTGGTCCTTGGGTCAGATGTGTGAAACTATTTCTCAAAGAAACCGCATACATAATTGAGGCCCTCCGAAGGGTTCCCAGTTGAAGTTGCCAGGCTACATTCATTTCAAAAGCAGAGCCATTTGTTATCATATTTAAATTAACTCTCTGCACACTGAACTTGAATTTTAGAGTCCTGCTTACTTATAATTCTTAAAATAGTTGAGAAAGGGGAAAACATGTGTCTGGAAAATGGAAATAAGGTAGTCCCCACAAGGGACAGCAGTGGTTCTCATGCAGGCCTGAGGTGAAACAGCCTTTTATAGCTTAAATTTAGAAAGATCTGTTTGGAAACACTAGAAACAAGTCTTTATTTTCTCATGCAATTTTTTGTATAGATCCAGATGCAAGATTGTTGCAAAATCTTGTCATTTGTAATCTGTGTGTCAGCTAGGTTTTTACCCTTATCAATGTACTAACCTCATTCCCTTTCCTGCTCCCCCAGATTATTCTTTGCCGTGAGATTTAGAATAAGATAATTTCTAAAGTTGCACAAAATTTAAACTATTTTAGTTTAATATGTCAGTTCAATCTTGGCTATAATAAAATACACTTTTTTTTCCCTAATCTGTGAAACTTTACGCATTATTTTAAACAAAGTTTATGCAACTCACTAGATAAATGTTTTGATAATTTTGCCAATTGCTGATACATTCATTCAAACAAACAACTCAGTGGAAATCAAAACATGTAAACTGACTTGTGTTGGGACCTTGCTATAACTGCACAGAGGAAAAACTTTCCAAATGAAAATACTGTGCATGTTTTTTTTTACAAGATGCACAGAGACATGATTGCACATTATTTTGTCTGTTAAAAGTGTTTAAAGTTTAAGCTATCTCCATTGTTAGAATGTTCTCCATTACCTGAGTTGGTAAAATTAATCATGGGACAGACTTTCATTCTTGCTAAGTTTGATACATAGAACTAAATAGCCCATTCTGAATAATCCATGTATTTTTTCTTCTCTTTTGAAATACAAGTTTAAAGGTTTTAATCACTATTCCCTCCTCATTATAGGACACTAATTTGTTATGATTAAGAAAACCTGTGTTCATCATTGTAAGGAAAATTTAGCTTTTTAGACTGCAATGCATAGTAAAATTTCATTTGAAGGCAATAAAAAAGAAACAAAAAATAAAACAAAACAAAGCAAAAAAGTACAATGAATATAAAATACCATTAAAAGCTGTAATGTTAAAAGTAATCTTCCAAATACCTACCGAGTCTCTCATATAACATAAAGAACATCTTATTGTTCTCTTTTTAAGTAATTAGTACTTGTGAAGTCCTACTATAGCCATAGAAAGCAGAAACTGGTCATCTTAATGACATCTATTAATAATATAACAATTGATAGGCAACATGAAAGTTGAAAATAAGTTACACAATTTTAAATTCCTTTAAAATTGTTGAACGAACACATACAAAAAGTGTCTATTAGTCTTTCTTTTCTTCTAATAAAATGTGGTGTTTTAAAACCACAATCCATTTGCTTATTTAAAGTTCTGTGTGGCCAACAATACTACACGGTTAGTATGTCCTCTCAAGTGCTCTTTGAGAATCTTGTTTACTTATTGGAGGAAGTGATGTACAACACTGCAACATGCAGAGCAGTACTAGATCTTTCTTCTTCTTTTTGTTTTTGCAACTGTAATATGAGATTAAAAGTAAGAAGCTAAATCTTATTAAACAGCAGAAGCTTTTCAAAGATAAAACATAAACTTTATGGGAACATATAAAAGTTGCTTGTGGTGATACATTTCTGCTATTTCAAAGCTTTATCCAGGTTCATACTGACTATACATAGTTATAAATGTTAGAAAAATTAGGATAGATAAAACTTTGTAAATTCTTAGATTGGTTCATAATACAAATAATGTAATTTGGCTGGGTCAAAATTGAATCATTAATAATATCAGTTTCACAGCTAATACTTATATCAAACACTGGTCCTCTTTGAAAGCTTCAAGTTATCTTTCTTATGTAAAGTTCTCTTAAAGAAAACTGTTATATGCTCCAGGGGATTATTAACATATTTGTCAATTAACATTTAAAAGCCATTTATGGCCAACAGTTTGTCCCTATTGCTATTTTGTATTTTAAATTAGAATATTTTAATTAATGTACAGGACAGAAACTTTTAAAAAATAAAATGTAAAATTTCCTTTTTTGTTTGCTAAAGAGGTAAGTTTTTCTTATTCTGCAGAATTATTTTAAAATGTGTAATTATTTCAAAGAACCTAAGTATTGTGTAAATAACCATTTTCCCCCTCATTGGTCACTAAAATTACTCACTGAGTCTGACAAGATTCTATTTAAAGTTCCATTTTGGAATATTTCAAAATATGCTAAGCTTTTCTAAATCCAAAATTAAAATTTGAACTCAAGTGATTATTAATGTTTGTTTCATTAGCTAATTCTGTCAATCATCATAGAATTAAATTTGGAGATGACTAGATGTCAACATACCTCAAATCTGATGGCTCACCTATTTGGTACCCTCATTATCTTGACATTCAGTGTTTTTGGAAATTACCTACTAGGAGAAAAGCAACTGTGATATGACTGCAAAATGTCTCATCAATATTTACTGCAAAATGAAGAGATTAAGTTTTGAAAGTATAATGAAAAATAATTGTCTTCTCCTCCCCCTTTTTTCTCCCTCTCTCTTGCTCTCTTCCCATCTTTTACTTCTTTCTCGACCTCTGTTTCCTGCTTATTTCTCCTTTCTGAGCCTCTTAAGCTAAGCCAATCGACTCATAGGCAGCACGCTCTGGAGAAACTGGCACACATATGGCAATGAACTGGTTTGGTAAACATATGTCTTTGCAGGCATTGGATGTCTTGCCAGGAATGAGATATTCCATTTTGGGGAATGAGGGTGGGAAATGCTTAACCACCTACAGATGTTTTGCATCAAAAGCTAAAGAATTGCAGTCAAAGAGCTGCAAAATGTGTAATTTGGAATTTTTCCAGGTTTCTTTTTTTAATAAGAAAAAAGTTAACAGCTTTCCTATTCATCTCTTTTGAGAAAATTTACAGTCGATTCCCAGTTCTGCCCCATTCTAAAGTAAGGACAAAAGACTGAAACCGAAGCTGTCCATCTGCTCCATAACAGTAATGTTATAATGGGTGCTGTCCATTTTTATGCTATTGCTCATGTGTGCCCAGGGGACTGGAACTATTTAATTCACTGACTTCACAGCTCTGTTGTGTGTCACAAAAGGTTAAAAAAAAACCAACACACTTTTTAGCACCCTGTTTACAAGGACTCCCTGTAAACCTAACTGAAGTAACAGATTCCCACCCTGCCCCCCATCCTAGCTCCCTCTAGTTTTCCTTCTAATTTGGTGCATTCAGATAACAGGTAATAGATGGAACTCACACCATTATTGACTTGTCCTGTGCAAATAGTGGATATTTCAAATCTGCTGTGAATGTTACTTTCAAAAGCCCACAAATTCCAGAAGTAGATTTGAAAAGGAAGATGTTTGCCTTTAAGATTTTAGGATTAGACAACTCTGTTTTCCCAGAAGTCCAAGAATTAATGCTCTAGATTAGCAGAGAGTTAATGAAAACCTGCAGAGGAAGACCGATGACTTCTATTCCTCTCCACCAGGCAGGGGCTGAGCAGTCCATGCACAGCTGGTGCATGCTGGTGTTTTGCCAAGGCCGTAATGAAGCGTGTGCACTCCAGGGCATTTTCCTGGAAAGATAGAGGTGGCCAGAAAATATCCACTTGGTTCCATTCTATGGTCTTCTCAGAGCAGTGGTGCAGGGTGTTGAAGCTGGCACTCATGTTTGCTACCGAAGAGAGAATGTGGACATGAAGTTGAGGGGGTTTCTATCTATTCTCCACCAAGGAGGGCCTCAATAAGAATGTTTCAGTATATCAGATCCTTTCCGCAGCCCATTTGTGATCATGTGTTTCTGTAATATTTTTGATAATTAAAATATTAGCCATAAATAATGCACTATCCAGATGCAGTCATCACTTTCACTTTGGTACCATTAATCAAACTTTTCACTTCTCTATGGCAACTGTGAAGATATGTCTATATACCCTTGAAAACTAGTTTGTGTGTGAACAGGCTTAAAGGGCAGTGAGCCTCTCCTCATATGCCATTTAAAAAATATTATTATTTAAAAAAAAAATCCCAGCACTTTGGGAGGCTGAGGCAGGTGGATCAAGAGATCAGGGGTTCGAGACCAGCCTGACCAACATGGTGAAACCCCATCTGTACTAAAAATACAAAAATTAGCTGGGCATGGTAGCAGGTGCCTACAATCCCAGCTACTCAGGAGGCTGAGGCAGGAGAATTGCTTGAACCTGGGAGGCGGAGGTTGCAGTGAGCCGAGGTCGTGCCACTGCACTCTAGCCTGGACATCAGAGCGAGACTCTGTCTCAAAAAAAAAAAAAAAAAAACAATTTTCTTAATTTCTTTTTTCTGTAACAATAGCAAGTATTTATTTTGTATCCACAGGTTACAGGAAACTACTGGATGCAGCAAGCATCTGAAAACAAATTAGAAACGCTCTCTGACCTTAGAGAAATTCTATAACATTGTATATTTATCAGTTAGCACTTCTCAAACTCAATTTGTTCATTTGTTCATTCATTCAAACATTTCCTGAGAATCTGCCATGTGCTAAGCACCTATTCTGAAAAATGTTAATAAGGGCATCTCAAAAAATGAGTTCTGTTGTCTAATAAGTTTGGGAAACACTGCATATTATATTTCCTTTCTTTGAGATATAATAAGCACATGCTATGTATCAGGCAGGCCCTGTTCCGCTGTATTAATACATCTGAAAAATCCTTTATTTCACTTATATTTTCCCATAATTATTAGAACTTATTTTTCCCTCCAACCCCCCCTCTCCAAAACAAAATAAAGTAGTAACATTGGAATCCTAGAGTACTGAAAGATGAAGCTTGACATTCATTTGTGTAATACAGACAAAAGAATGGCAGTTAGAACAATTCTTGTTGCATTCATTTCTTTCTTTTCTTTCTTTTTTTTTTTTTTTTTGAGACGGAGTCTCGCTCTGTCGTCCAGGCTGGAGTGCAGTGACGCGATCTCCACTCACTGCAAGCTCCACCTCCCGGGTTCACGCCATTCTCCTGCCTCAGCCTCCCCAGTAGCTGGGACTACAGGCGCCCACCACCACGCCTGGCTAATTTTTCATATTTTTAGTAGAGACGGGGTTTCACCGTGTTAGCCAGGATGGTCTCGATCTCCTGACCACGTGATCCGCCTGCCTCAACCTCCCAAAGTGCTGGGATTACAGGCATGAGCCACCACGCCCGGCCCTATTGCACTCATTTCTAACGGTAATTCTAGCAGACTTGTTACCCAGAGTAACATTAGTAGGAAAATAGGGGCATTATACTTCTTGAATCCGGGTTCTTTAAAAAATAAAAATTCTGGATGTGTCAAGTTTGAAAACTAGAATCTTAGAACTAATGAGCACATTGTGAGAATACTGTAGATTACAAAACTGATTTTTAAATATAAATAAATTTTGATCAACTGATTCAACCAGGTGGACAAAGGTAGAATTTATTTCTAGAAAAAATTGATATGATGTGTTCTGCCAAGGCATAAAGCTTTCTTTCAACAACATATTGAACCTCTCTTAAAAATGTAGAGATATGTTAAATTCTTAGAAGCTGATGTTTGAGTGATCAATAAAAAAATCCTGAAACTTGTCTAGCCAGTGTCTAGAGACAGACTAAGATAACAGGATATTCTCAACTTCTTACTTTTTAATTTTAAAGTTTTGTTTTTATTCCATGAGAGGTAACTTTACAATGAAATATGTTTTCTTTGTGCATGGCTACTTTTTATGGACCTCATAAATTGGTGCTCAGGATAACTGGCAATTTTGGCTATCAGTTCAACTTCTGATGCCATACTGAAGGAAATTAAAATATGTACTCAAAAGAATGTGACAGTAACAATGATATTCTATAGATTTACATGATTTATGAAGAAGGATCCAATTGGAGTTTATGAATCTTCCAAAAAGACCTCACCATGGAACTATTACTATTATCTTTCTGATATTCTACTGAAAATGAAATACATTTACCAATTCTCCAAAGGCAATTTCTCTTCACCTCAAATAAGTCTTCCTTATAGGTCATATAAATAGAATTAAACCGGTTTATAATGTTTCCTTTTGTTTTCCTACCGAATGAACTCATTATAGCCAGCCCATTAGAAAATGAAATTAAAGGATTTAATTGTCTGTGCATATTAAATATATTTATAATTTATAAAAATAAATATTCTGAGATTGAGTAAATAATCTGCAATAATAGAAATGTGCATGTTGACATACTAGAAATACATAAGGTGATGCAGACACATAGCACTACAATATACAATACGTACCTCTATGAAGCATGTAGAAATTTCAGAGTCTAGAATCTAGACCAAACAAGGGCAAAAATGCGTTCTGGGAAACACAGGTGGAATTGCTAGTAGATTATAAATGGCAATTTAGTTTATTTAGACAATATCTTTGGATGAAATATTGCATTTATGATAATGAGGGAAGATTTACAACAATTAGCATGGTGATCTCTTGGAATGGGCATTCCTCTCCAAGGGGGAAAGTGTATTTGAAAATGTGTCTTTACACTTTCGGAATAACATGTTTCAAACTTGCCTTACTGACAGCTGCCACTTATCAACAGTTTATGTGAAATGAAGAATCAAGTTAACAATTTAACACTAATTAGAAGCATAAACAAAACTAATGATCCAGTAAACTTAACAAAGTCCCAAAGTCCCAAAGTCTCAGAGGTTCTGGAGAAACTTATTATTTCCTTAGTTTCAATTTCTCAAAAGCTCCTGGGAGGGCCTTTTAGCTTTTAGATATGATGGTCAGGCAACAGTAAGAAGGAAAACTTGAAACCATTTTGGAAGCCAGGTAAGCACTTTATTAAAAACCCTGTGTTTATTGTCATACAACATCTATACAAAACTGTCTATATATTTGTGAGATGACCAAAATTGCAAAAATGAAATGAGTCCAATTCAGAAAAATTAATTTAGGCTTAACTTTCTAAGGTAATTTTTTTCTAAAACAGATTTACTCAGTTTGAGCAGAAAAATGCATGATTAGTGTTGAATTCTAATTTTCTGTGTGTTCTGAAATGATAAAAAAAATTGAGAAATTTTGAAAAATATATACTTGAGGAAATTTTGAATTACAAATGGGTCATTTAAAAAAATAAAGTTAAACCACAGACAAATAAAACTTTAAAGATGTAGATTAAAAAAATCTCTTTAGTTATTCTAAAAAACAAAATTTCTTCAGTTATCCTAAAAAACAAAATAAAATTTTAAAACCTTCATGAAGTAAGACGAGCCACTTCTCGTCATTTCTGTGCTCTTGTAACATCTAATCTAATTCAAAAGGCAGAAGTTTCTATTATGTACAAGGTGCTGGGTCTCCAAGCTAATAAGGGCTCCTTTGATTTCCATATTTTTGTATTTTTTGATGGTTTTTGTATTTCTTCATCTCCATTTTTCCTGTATCCCATTTCCCTGAGTGGAACACCTATATTCTGCTTGAGACTCCTTGATTACAACTGCAGCAAAGATTTCATCGATGTGATCTGCCCACACTCATATTACTTTGTGTCAGTAGTGGTGAGTTCTTTGGAGACGGAAATTGTGCCTTGTTGATTTCTGATTTCCCAGTAACTCATATGGCACATGGAACATAGTGGGTGCTCAATAAATGTTCTCTGAATAAATCAAGTAGATTTAACAAATCTTACAGAGTATTGCACTTAAAGCTGGGCAAGAGGGTCCAGGGCACCATGCTTTAGAGCAGTGTTGTCCAGTAGAAATTTTTGCAATTGTGAAAAGGTTCTATATCTGCATCCAGGGCAATAAAGTAACTACTAGTCATATGTGCTATTGAACATTTGAAATGTAGCTAGTCCAACCGAGGAAGTGAATTACAATTTCACTAAATTATATTAATTTGAATTCTAATTAAATAGCCATGACTGACTAGTAGCTAGACAGCTTTAGTCCTTCAACTATGTCCCTTCCCATGACAGAGGACCGGTCCATGATAGCCCATGCTCCCCCTACAGACCAGGCCTTCAGATATTCAGAACTCCAGAATTCCCTGCCTACTATGTACTCATGTCCAGGGCTGCTTCATCTTCTTGCCTGGTCTATCTTCCCAAGGACAGAACTTGCTGCTGGTGTGCACATCCTGTACCAAAGCAGTGTCCAAGGAATGGCAGTTTGTTGTAGAGGGTGGCTGGGTAGAGACACCATGAACAGGTCTTACACATGTAGCTGACTGTCCCATACATGCTCACGAGACCTCTTGAAGTGCTGGAGGATGGGACAGGAAGCTGGAAGTAAGAGAGTAAGTGGTGCAACTTTCCCTAAGTGGCCATGTTCCAGGTTAGTGGTTTTATCACAAAACATATGCAAGAAATAGATTAATTCTTAGTACACCACACGCGGAATGATTCAATGATCATTCATTCACTCACCAAACACTTATTGAGCACCTACGGTATTCCAGGTAGTGTTCTAGGCTCACAGCAGTGAACAAAATCAGCCCTTGCCTTCATGGGGCTTATATTCTTGTGAGGAAGACAAGAAGCAAATAGGCACAATAAATGTGTGTGTGTATGTATGTGTGTGCTGTAAAGAAAATTAAAGCATCCTGAAAGAATAGTGACAAAGGTGTTCTTTTAAATAAGGTATTCTCTGTACAATCTTTCTAAGAAAGTTATTTTTGAAGAAAGACCCAAATGAAAGGAGGAAGCAAGTCATGTAAACACTTAGTGGGAAGAGTTTTCCAAGTAAAAGGAGTAGCACATGCAAAGACCCTGAGATGGGGGCATCCCTGCCATGTTCAAAAAAATAGTAAGAATGTTAGTTTGCTTGGAATGCAGTGAAATTGATTGAAATGAAGTAGGGGAGATAGCTAAAATTCAGATGATGTAGGGTGGTATAGGTTGTGCTAAGGACTTAGGATTTATCTTTTTCTTAGTTTGATGGGAATGCATCAGAAGTTTGTGATCAGGGTTATGACATTTGCTCTTCAAAAAGATCATTCGGTCTGCTTTTTGGAGAATAGGTGGTAGGGTGCAAGAGTGGAAGCAGGGAGACAATTTCAGAGTCTCCTGCAGTAATTCAGGTGGAAAATGCTGGGGGTTTGATTTGGGCTGTCAGCACTCATGTCTTTGCAGCAAGGCATGAGTTTAAAGTGACACAATGAACTTCTTTCAATCTTGTCAGTGTAGCTCTGCAGCTGTATGTGTGACCTCATTTAGAAATAATGTCCAAAGTCTGAATTTGAGATCTCTGTGATTGTGAGTCTCAGGGTCAAAAGGGCCTTCTACTCTCTCCCCAAAACGACTCTGCAACTAGCTGGATGAGCCTTATGGAAGCAGTTGTACCTCTGTCTAAATATCACAGAGGTTTCATAGACCTTCAGTAAAGCTTGTACTTACTGTATTACAACACCCAGTAACTTCAATTGCAACTGCTGTTTCTCATGAAAAGTCTCTGTGAATTTTCATGGTAGTAACATAAATCGCTTTCCTTTTGGACATAGGTACAAACTGCCTTCAAGAACTCTTAGGAAGCTGTAGTCAGACTTTGTGGGGGAAGGGGAGGATTAAAATATTCCAGGCCCATGTTTTCCCACTACAAAGTCAGTCTACTCCAAACAGCTAGCTTCATGTAGATTAGAGAGAAGCAGAAATACCTTTGCCTTGGTCTTTTTAAAATCTTCCACAAAAGACAAGTAAAGCCCTTTAAAAAAGGAAAAGAGCAGTTTTGTACATATATTTCTATGTCTTTTCTAAAGGTTTTTATTAAAATTTTTTGTATTTTTTTGAATCACTCACTGTAATATGGACTTTTTCCTCTTCCCCTTTTCCTCCAAGAACATAATATTATTGCAAGCTTTCTACCAAAAGATAAAATTACTGCCACAAGTAGTGGGAAGCCGCAGAAAGATCATATTCCAGATTGAATCGCTTCTGAACAAAATGGATGCTTTTTTAAACATTCTACTAAATGTGACTTTTCAAGGGCTGGTGTAGACAGTCCAGACGATAAAATTACCTAGCCTATCTGCAGATGAGAGGGAGCAATGGACCTCCAGGAAGACCTCCAACAACACATAGGGTGGTCTGTGTCATTTGGAAAGAGCTTACTGAGGTTCAAACTTCAGAGACACTAGTTTTCTTTCCTGTCCGATCACCTTCATGGTGATATAATATTATATTCCCATATAATATTTCATATATAAAAGGCCCTGAAGTGACTTTCAATATATAAAATATTTTATGGGAAATTTTTAAATGTTCTGTTTATCTTGTAGTTTCAGTGTTTCAAAGCACTGTCACATTTATTAAAAATAAACACATATGAAAGCATCTTATAAGTGGTAAAGCACTGTGCAAAAAAAAGTTATTAGGATTGTCACTGTTTCATATTTTCTATAAAATCCCAGAAAAGGCAAGTGTTATTACAACCCTCAAGATATAAAGAAGAAGTTGGAACAAGACCAGAAGACATTGGCTTTGTGTCCTTTTAGTGAATGATTTGGGGATTAGAGAGAGCCAGTTAAGCATTGTATGTATCAACTCTTTTCTAACTATACCACGGGTTGGATGCTCATTAGCTACAACTGAAGCAAAGATTTTTTCAGTGTGATCTGCCCACATTCGTGTTACTTTGTGTTAGTAGTGGCCAGCTCTTTTCATATATTTATAAATATATCCCCCTCTTAAATTATTTTTCCAATGCAAGTTTTACTCCCTTTCAGATCTTGGTATAACTATGTATAATTTTTTAAAAATATGTGAACTGCAAAAATGGAAAAGAGCAACAGTATATTATAGGAACAAAAATTTGGAACCTGGAAAGCAGACAGATAAGTATACCAGCTTTAGCAGATACAAGAAAACTGAATCCTGAGCTAATAATGGGGAAAATGAAGAACTAAGGCTTAGAAGTTAGCAGTACCAAGTACTCACAGGATAGGGTGTGAAGGGGAGGAGGGTGCCAACATTATATTGTATTCATTCCTAAGTTGTACATTTTTTTCCCTTTTTACAACTTTGAAATGGGTGTGCACATTTCAGCTGATGGCATTTACAATTGGAACTAGAAGAATTCTTTCTTTCTTAGATGGGAAATAATGGTGTGTCTTGTGATCGATGGAAACTTGTTTTAGAAATATGAAATACCTAAATCCATGTCACTGGTGTCTCTGCAGAAGCTGAGAAGGTGGGATCTCTAGATTGAGGGATGTCAGGTACATTTAGGGCCATGAGTACTATATCAAAAACATAAGAATAAGGTGATACCTACATTCTGTAGGCAGCATACTAAATGCTGAGATGTCTAGCTTTCTCCTTCCTCTCCACCCACTGATCTCTAGAAGCCAAAAATTCAGACTCCAGGAAGGGTATTGATGGAATACTTAGAGGGATATCTGACCAGCTGCTGAACAAAAGCCTAAAACTGATGTTGAAGGGTTCCCAAATATAACCTACCTATATCATCCCAAAAGGAAGATCAAAGTAAAGAAATTCCACCTACATGCTCAGAGTGCGATAGTATTTCAGTCTTCAACTCTTAATCATGGGCATACAACTAAGGATTAGGAGACATCTAAGGAAATCTAACAGAAGGAAGAGAAGCAAAAAAGCATTTTAAGGAAAGAAAGGCTCTAGAGGAGAAGAAAATTTTTAAGATTATAATTATTAACCTCAGAGAGGTAAGAAAAGTAAGAAACTTTCAACTAAACTTCTATTGAGTTTTTCAATTTCAGATATTGTGCTTTTAATATTTTTATGCTGATTGTTCTTTTTATGGAGTCTCCTGTTCTTACTTTATGATATAAAACTTGATAGAAGTACAGATTCAAAGCTAAAGGTGAAGAAATACCCAAGAAAGAAGTTCAAAAAGATAGAGAAATGGAAAATATTAAAGAAAAGGAAGAAAAATTCGAATATTGTTCCAGGTGGTACAGCCTCCAAAAATATAGTACTATAGTCCCTAAAAAAGAGAAAAGAAAATCATCAAAGAAATATTTTAAGAAAACTTCCAAGAATTAAAGGACATGATTTTCCAAACTAATAAAGCTCCAGTGCTTAACCTGGATGACAACACCAAGTCTCTGAAATTTGAAAACATTGAGGACTAAATAAATAAATGAATAAATAGCTTTCAGAGGAAAGCAAAACAGACAACTCAAAAGATCAGGATTAAGCATGGCTTTGATCTTCTCAACAACAGCACTAGATGCAAGAAAACAGTAATAATGTATTCAAAATTCTAAAGAAAAACCTAACGTTTCTAATCTAAAATTCTATATTCTACCCAATTTTCAATCAAATACAAAGTTACTATAAAAATAATTTCAGGGCCGGGTGTAGTGGCTCATGCCTGTAATCCTAGCACTTTGGGAGGTTGAGGTGGGCGGTTCACGAGGTTCATGAGTTCGAGATCAGCCTGGCCAAACCCTGTCTCTACTAAAAATACAAAAAAAGAAAATTAGCTGGGTGCAGTGGTGGGCACCTGTAATCTCAGCTACTCAGGAGGCTGAGGCAGGAGAATTGCTTGAACCCGGGAGGCGGAGGTTGCAGTGAGCCAAGATTGCTCCGTTGCACTCCAGCCCAGGTGATGGTGTGAGACTCTGTCTCAAAAATAAACAAATAAATAAATAGATAAATAATATATATATATATATATATATACATTCAGATATATAGTCTCAAAATTTTTACCTTTTATTCATCTATTGTATATCATGGTGACTATAGTTAAATAGTAATATACTGTATACTTGAAAATTACTAAAAGAGTGATTTGAAGTGTTCTTAAAATCACACAGAAAATGATAGGTGAAGTAATGCATATGTTAAATAGCTTGATTTAACCATTCCACAATGGATATATATATATATATATATGTACATATTATATATATATATCTCAAACATCATGTTGTATACCATAAATATATGTAATTTTTACTTACCAATTTAAAAAATATGTTTTAAAAAAAGAGATTTATAAAGACTGAGGATCCCAGAAGAGGAAGTAATTCTGCCTCTAGACTCCAGACTTTGGACTCGAGACTTGCAACATTTACTCTTGCCAGAATTTCCAGCCTGCTGGATTTCAGATCTGCCAGCCTCTACAACTGAATGAGCCAATCTCTTAAAGTAAATCTATTTTTATACACACAAACGCACACACATTTATATAAAGAATTACATGAGTTACAGAAAACAGGGTATCCACACAAAAAAGAATTGAACAGAATCTTACAGATGATGTTGATTGTCCTGGACATATCAAGATAAAAATTGTGCACCAGGTATAAAAGGCAACCAGTCCATAATTGACAGTGTGACTCAAAAGACAGGCATGTTGAAGGTTCTCATACTCATACTCTTTGCCTCTTTTCTACCTGAAAAAACTTCTAAAAAATAGATTTCATTAAAATAAAGGAGCAGACCCAGAAAGAGAAGACATTAGGTCCAGGAAATGAGAAACAATTCAGAAGGCAAAGGAATTTCTATAGATGATAGCAAAGGTATAGAAAGACAACTAAGAAATGGGCATGAAGAGCAACCAGATGAAAGTAGAATGTTGGTTCCAGGAATGAAGGCTTCAAGAAATAATATGTAGTTTTAGAAATGTGATATGATTGAACGTGTAGAAACTTGTACTAAGAAGTTATTAGAAGGTAAGGAAAATTAGCAATAGGTGCAAAGAAAATTAAATAGGTGAAAAAAGCAAGGCAATCAATAACTTCAGAAACACATAAAAATAAAAAAGGAAATGGAATAATTGTATTGTACTATCTGACACATGACTGTGAAAATATTTGATAGTCATTATAAGTATCAAATATTATACTGTTTGGAGATAGAGAAGGGAAACAGAGTAGGACAGTGTAAATGTTAAATCATCATTTATATTAATAGAAAGTCAAGAGATAGTATCTTAAAATGATGAATCAAAAGACAGTATACACATTATTTGGGAATATGTAGATGTGTAAATGTTGGATGAAATAGCTAAAAGAGTTGAAAGCGTATGCATCTATAAGAGAGTCCTGGATAAATAGGGGTTAAGGCAGAGAACTACTACACTTTATTAAAAATCTCCTGGCAATAATTGAATTTTAAAAGTACGTGACTGTATTCACAAAATAATTTATTTAAAAATATAAAAATTTAAAAAAAAATATATAAAAATTTTTATTGTAATTGACTGGTGCAGTGAAACATTACTAAGCAATGAAAACAAACATATTTAAAATAATTTGCAAAGAAAGAATAAATGAAAAACATCTGAATAAAAATTACTAATAATTCAAAACTCAGATTTTTATATTTCTCTTGATTTATTAGAAACATTTTAAGTTATCTTCAACTTGTTCTTTATCTTCCTAAAAAAATTATTTATGTACTTAAACATGCAGAGTTATAAACTCTTCTCTCTCTCTTACCACTAGAGCTCTTCATCTCAAATATTTCAGTTCAAATAATATGTCTATGGTAAACACAAAATCTTAAAAATACATTTTACTAGTTTTATCAACATTTTAAGACTATAAGGAGAACTTTGCTTACCCTTTGTACAAATGTCAGAGGCCAAGTGGTACCTTTAAAATGCCCAGAGGAAAAAAAACTTGCACCTGTAGGCGACCCAGTTAAAGCTGAGTGAGAACTGCAGTCTTCAACATGTGTTTGAGGTACTCTGTAATTTCACCTTGCCTTTTGCAGCCTGTGCTTGACTCTGCTTGTAGTTTAAGATTCCAGTTTGTTCTTCAGAGCCTTGCATCCCCAGAATGGCTGTTGGGACATCATTGTGAACACTAATTACTGTCCCCTGCCTCTGTACAGTTCTTGATGTTTCTACCCAGAACATAGACTAAACCCAATGTCTGATCATTCTGCTTAATATCTGCCTGCCTCACTCTACCAACACCTTATGGAGAAGCTGTGTGCTAGCCACATAGCCAGGTTTGGGATCAGTGACACCAGGTTAGAGTTAAGAAAGAGTGTTAAGAGTTAGCAGGAAGCCAAAGCAGAATGCTTTTAGAGTCAAGATCAAATACCAAGGACATCCATTTTAAACCTCAAATTAAAAGGCCGAAGAATACTGAAGATTAGAGCTGCAGTATCTATTAAGCATCAGAGTTGGGGAAAATGGGGAAAAATGGAAAGTGATTGAGAATAGTTCAAGGAAACAAAAGATCAGAATGACTATAGCATTAAGACAGGAACCAGGAAGAGGAAGGACAGGGTCCTTAAAACGGAAGGCCTGGTATGAGGTAGCTTCTAAAAAGCTTCATAAAACATCCATTCTTTCATTCAACAAATATGCATCAAAAGAGACTTTTAAGCCCTCATTCATCATCCGACTTATACTTATTACAAGACTATGTAAGCAATTACTTCATTATTTAATTCATTCATTCAACAAATATTTACTACTTGGGTTGGAATCCCTATTATGTCACTTACCAGCTATGTGACCCTAGGCAAATTACTTAACCTCTCTGCCTCGGTTTTTTTTTTTTCATTAGTTAAATAGAGACAAATAGTATCTAACTCACAGATTTATTGTGAGTATTACATGAGTTGAGACATGTAAAGTCCTTAGAACAGTATATGACTATTAAAAGGAAATCAATATGAGAAAATAAAATCAATAAATCCAAATATTCCTCCTATTTACTAAGTGTTATGGGTTAAATTGTGTTCCCCAAAAGATATGTTGAAGTCCTAACCCCAGTACCTGTGAATGGTACTTCATTTGCAAATAGGATTCTTACAGATGTAATCAAGTTAAGATGAGGTCATTAAGGTGGGCCTTAATTCAGTGTAACTTGTGTCCTAACAATAAGAGGGAAATTTGGATGCACAGAGAGAAGACCACCATGTGAAGTTGGAGGGAGCAATTGCAGCTAAAGAGTGCCTGGGGTGGCAAGAAGCTGAAAGAGAAAAAGAAATATCCTCCCTTCGAGACTTCAGGGGATATTGGACTTACAGCCTTCAGAACTGTGACAGAATACATTTCTGTGATTTTAAGCCACCCAGTTTGTGGCACTTTGTTACAGCAGGCCTAGGAAACTCATATAATGAGAATCTACTATGCTTTCAAGACTGTTCTAGTTTCTGGTGAACAAATGCTTAGAAATTTGAATTTTTTCCTAAGGATGATGTGAAGCTTTGAAGGAGGTGACATAATCACATTTTCATTTGCAGGAACACAGAGAATATTGTGGGAGAAACAAGTTGGAGGTAGGAGAAGCAGACAGTAGGCAGTCGCAGGAGGTCAAGAGAGAAAATGGTGGCCCTTGGTGAGGTTGGCAGACACTGGGACACAGAGCAATGGAAGTATTGAAAAGACATTCTTGTGGTGGAGTGTGCAAAGGAAATTAAAGGAGAGGTTTCTGCCCATAACTGGATTGATGGTGGTACCATGTAGTAAGATAGGGATCAAAGGAGGAGGCACACATGGGTTTAGGGGAAGAAGATGAGGAGTTACATTTTGGACATGTTGAATTTTAGGCATCTGAGGAACATATGAGAGAAATCCACTAGGTAGTTGGATATATGAATCTGGCACATGGGGCAAACAGATCTTAGCTGGAAGCATAAATTTGAGAACTATGAATACTGATGGCAAGTGGAGAAGATTATATTACGAAATTGGGTAGAACAGGGAGAGGTGTCTTATCTAGTGAACCAGCTTAAATAATGCACAAAACTTTTTTGTACGTATCTACCGGTTTTTTTTTTCTGGAGTAAGCACATAGCTTTCCTCAAATTCTCAAATGCATCAGTGGCTCAAAAAAAGAAGTTGAGAACTACCAGTATAAATTAAGAGGAGAAGAGGGCATGGGACCAAACACTGAAGCATATAAATATTTAAGAAATAATCTTAAAAGAGTGACCAAATAGGTGAAAGGAAATCTAGAATCATGTAGTCAAGGGGTGACAATGTTCAAGAATATGGGTATTGGCAGTTATGTCAAATATTTCCAGAAGCTCAAAATAAAAGGAAAATGAACTTACCTTCAGGTGGTTATTGTGACCTTGTCAAGAGCAATTTAAAATGAACTGGTTGGAACAGAAATCTTCATGCTGAGGGGTAAATGAGAGGTGAGAGAGAAGACCATCAAACTTTAAAATAAGAAAATCCATTTTTTAAGCTAATTTCAAGGTTAATAACCATAATTTATTCTGTGTTTTTCAAAATAGGTTAATTAACTTTCACCCTTTCTTGTACCCATTCTCCTTTCATTTACCTTGGAAACCCTGTTTTTTTCTTCTTATTATTTAGTGACATTCTGTTTTTTTTCTCTAAAAGAAAAATCAGAAGAAAAAAATCTGCAATGAAAATCATTAGGCCTACATAGAAACTAAAAGCAGTAGAATTTACATTGTGTCACAAAACATAAACTTACAGATGTACATTTTCATAGCAACAAGTGAGCACTCAAACCATAGTTGAATTGAATTTAATTATATTCAGAGAATCACTTGGCTGAACAATGATTGTAACATCAAAAACTTTGAGGCTTCCACGCAAGAGTCTAGGCTATGTCTAAATTATGTCCAAAATATGTATTGCAATTATCAACCAAATGGTTTGAGGAGAACATGCTGGTAAACCAAAGAATGAGTTGTTTAAATTTTTATTTTTCAAAAGATTGCTTTGGCATCACAGAGGCAAAAATACTGTTAAAGATAACTTTTTAAAAAATAAAATTATTCAATAAAAGAAATGAGGATTATGCAGATAATGTGGTTTCTTTTCCTTAATAACACAAAGCCTTAAAAGGACACCTTTTCTGTGAAGTCAATTACACAGAATTGAAAATGCTTCTCTCTCTTTCTCCCCACACTACTCTCACAATTCATGTAACAGTGGTGTGCTTACTCTTTTGTATGTACATTTCCCTCCACTACACACTAAGCCTCTTGAGAGAGGGACTGTAGCATACACATCTTAATGTCCCCAATCAATAGTACAATAACTGGGACTTAATAAATGCATTGAATAAATGAATGAATTTTAATTATTTACCCAAATACATCTATTAGTCTCATTCTGAATTTCCATTTATGTAATAAGAACTGGGATTTTTCTGCTAGCTTATAGTTAAGGATTACTATGTTCCCCATAATACATTTGGAACATTATTAATAAGACAATGGAAAAGAAAATGTCACAATTCATTTGAAATGCAAAGAGCAAATAAACAGCAGTTAAATAACAGACATTAAATGTAGCACATATGTCAAGTAATAACAAGAATGCTTTTCTTTAGAATTTGAAACATTGATGAGTGAGATTGTTAGTGCAATATAATTTTTTAGGCTAAAACAGAGCCTGATATGGAGTAATAGTTATGTGCATTAAAAGAAAGAAGAGAACAGTGAATCTGTAGAAGCGGTTCTACTGAGAGAAGACTCCATAACTTCAAAGCTTATTATTTGACGTTTTACAGGAGTAACTGGATTGCATATTGCTGGAGGAGAGAACGAGGACGGTTTTCTTTGCTTGTAGTAGTTACACTTTTATAGCTTCCTAGCTCCTCAGAGATCACAAGTGGACCCACTCAGGTCAAAGTTCCTACTTCACTAAAACAAAGCATAACAAAACAAACTTTAAACAGCAGCAGCAACAACAAAGAACAGCATACATACAGACCATTAGGTAAATTCACTGACTTGGACATTTATTTACTTGTCCAACTCCATCTATAGTTATGATGAAAGGGGAAATGAGAATTTTAAAGTGATTCTGATCTATTAATGATTACAATTAATAAGATGCACGGAAAGATAAAACCTCATTTTCATATTCTAAAAAATTTTACGCAGAGTATGGTGGCTCATGCCTGTAATCCCAACACTTTGGGAGGCCGAGGCGGGTGGATCACCTGTGGTCAGGAGTTTGAGACTACTCTGGCCAACATGATGAAACCCTATCTCTACCAAAAATACAAAAATTAGCTAGGTGTGGTGGCGGGTGCCTGTAATCTCAGCTACTTGGGAGGCTTAGGCAGGAGAATCACTTGAACCCAGGAGGCAGAGGTTGCAGTGAGCCAAGATTGTGCCACTGCTCTCCAGCCTGGGTGACAAGAGTGAGACTCCGTCTCAAACAAACAAAAAAAACTTTTAATGTGGCAATATTCACTTGGTTAACATTTTAAAAACCTGGATAGTATACACCCAAAAATACTTGTGCAATTTTAAAATATGGAATGATGATCTTTAGTATGATTTTGTAGGATAACCAAGTTTATACAACCCTGCAATACTTAAGAGACTCCACTAAAAAGTGTCACGGAATGACCATGGTCGTCCATTTATTTATTACATCATCATACATCTTTTGGAAGCCAGGTCCTGATATCACTTCTCTAGTGATAACAAGCAAAAAAGCAATTTAAAAGACATAGCATGTTTTTTTTTTTTCTACAGAAGACCATGTAAAATTTATCTGCTTATTGGAATTCTGAGTAAACTTTTCTATTTCTAACATATTCCAGGAAATCACACAAGAATGTTTGCTTGTGGAATTTCTGACTCTTGTTCTTGGATGATATACTGTGATGTCAATAATATTTGCAGCTACCGCATGAGCATCTTTTCCTCCAGATTCTTAAGTAAGAATCTAAGGATAAGGAAAAGGTGTCTTTTCTCTGACCATATAAGCACATCAAAATGAAGTTGCCACAATGAGTTTTTCATCCTTAAAATAAATGAGTTTTTCAAACAAATCAGCAAGAAAAAAAAAAAACAAAAACAAATAATCTCATCAAAAAGTGTGCAACGGACATGAATAGACTTTTCTTAAAAGAAGATAAAATGGCCTCTAATATGGTCTGTAATCCCAGGACTTTGGGAGGCTGAGGCAGGCAGATCATGAGGTCAGCAATTCGAGACCAGCCTGGTCAACATGGTGAAACTCTGTCTCTACTAAAAATACAAAAATTAGATGGCTGTGATGGTGTGCTTCTGTAATCCCAGCTACTCAGGAGGCTGAGGCAGGAGAATCACTTGAACTTGGAGGGCAGAGGTTGCAGTGAGCCAAGATTATGCCACTGCACTCCGGCCTGAGCAATAGAACGAGACTCCATCTCAAAAATAAATAAATAAATAAAAAGATATACAAATAGCCAGCAAACATATTAAAAAATGGCCAACATCACTAATCATCAGGGAAATGCAAATTAAAACCACAATGAGATACCACCTTACTCCTGCAAGAATGGCCATAAGTAAAAAGTAAAAAAACTATAGATATTGACATGGATGTGATGAAAAGGAACACTTTTACACTACATATAAAGAAAATGTATATATACACCATGGAATACTACTGAGACATAAAAAGGAATGAAATAATGTCTTTGCAGCAACTTGGATGGAGCTGGAGGCCGTTATTCTGAGTAAAGTAACTCAGGAGTGGAAAACCAAATAGCATATGTTCTCACTTATAAGTGAGAGCTAAGCTATGAAGATGCAAAGTCATAAGAATGATGTAATGGAATTTGGGGACTCTGTCTGTGGCGGGGAAATGTTGGGAGGGGGGTGAGGGATAAAAGACTACACATTGGGTACAATGTACACTGCTCCGGTGACAGGTGCACTAAAATCTCAGAAATCACCACTAAATAACTTATCCATGTAACCAAAAGCCACCTGTACCCCCAAATCTATTGAAATGAAAAAAGAGAGAGTAAAGAATCAGAACAAAGAAAAAATAGAAATATAAAATAAGTGAGTTTGGAAAAGGACTACGTCAAAGAAAGATGGCTTTCTGCACCTCCGCCTTCAAAGTGGGACAACTAGCCTCCATTTCTGATTCTCTCTCCCCATGAAAGAGAAAACATGAGATCATATTGAGTACTATTTGAAAATTGGAAGATTTTTAAATGTATTATTTTATTTGATCTTATGTATGCTTCTATAGTTATATGTGTAGCCCTACCTCACCTGACCTCCAGACTTACAGCCCAACTGCCTGCTTGAGATCTTTGCTGGCAGTTTAACAGGCATCTCAAAGTTAGCATACCAAAACTTGATGAGGTTCCCTGTGCTTTCCAACAATGCTCCTTTCCTATAGTCATCTTCCCTGCAGCAAACTGCACCATTATCTACCCTGCAGCCCAGGCAAGAAATCTCAGAATCAGTCTAATTTTGTATTTCCTTTACATTCAATCAATCCTGGAGCAAGTTGTATTAGTGTTACTTTCAAAACATATCCTGAATATGTCTACTCCTCAGCATGCCACAGCTACCATCTCAGTCCAAGACCACTGTCTCTCACCTGAGTGATGCCAAAGACCTCCTAAAACTGATCTATCGGCTCCACCTTTGCCACTCCACAGTCTAGTCTCCACTCAGTGAATCATCTTTTAAAAACAAAAGAGTGTGCCTCACTCCATTAAATCATCTGATGGCTTCCCCCTGCTTTCTCTTTCCACAGCCTACAATGCCCTATGTGGTTGGGACCCTGCTTCCCTCCTCTACCACATTTCATCCCACTCTTCCCCTTACTCACTGCATCCCAACCAGAGAGTCTGCCCATTTACAAGCCAAGTTTACACCTCCTTACAGCCTTAGCATCTGCTCTAATGCCCCAGATCTTACATTTGGTCATTTGTTTTGCTTTTTTTTTTGGTCATTTGGAAGTCAGCTTAAATGTCACCTCTTCTGATGTCTTTCCTGACCACTTAATCTAAATCTTAACCTGCACACATTCTATCCATTACCCTGTTGTTTTTCTTCCTTCGTAGCTCATATCACTATCTGATATTTTCCCTTTTTGTTTGTTGTTCAACTCGCTCGAGTAGAAAATATTATCCAGGAGAACAGGCATTTGATCTGCTATGTTAACTACTGTTCCCATAGCAGCTAGAACAGTGGTGGTCTGTAACAAGCAGTCATTAATATTTGTTGAATGAATACATAAATGAAGCCCCAGATATTTTTAAAAATTATATTTAGAAATGTAGCAATTAATAACACTATACTAAAAGTAACATTAGGCTGAACCTTTGTGACATAATCAATTATTAATGTTTCAGCTTATAAAGAGGCTAATAAATCCAGATGATAGTATTTCAGTAGTCAAAATACAGTATACCTCTGGGAAGTGGGTCTTTGAAGTATTATTATACACAAAGCAAACTTTCTGGGGTTGTTGGCCGAGAGGAACTCTAAAATTAAAAACAAAAAAATCCAGGGATAGAGTAAAATAGGCTGACAAAGGCACCTACATGCAGAGTGAATAGAGTGAGAGTTGTTCAAAGTTCTGATGGTGAAAGATGACCCGGGAAGTGAGAAAGTCACTAGGCAAGAAGAGCGGACTTCACCTGGGTGGACCTGAATTGAGTTCAGTTTACAATGAAGGTTTAGTGGGGTGGGATGCAGTTAAGAATTATTCTTGTATAATAACATCTTGTAAATACAGTAAACTTCAGTGAGAGCACTCTATTTAAAGGATTTTCTACTTTTTTATTAAGTTAGGTAACTCTCACTGAAACAGAGGAGATAATGCTTATATGGAGTATGGAAATGAAAAGCCTCCTGCAGAATACACACATTCTAAAAAAATTGTAAAAGGAAAAGATGAGATCCTGACAAAGTCCAAAAAAAGGATATAAATCAGTAAATGGTAACCTGGGCTCATAAGAGATGATACCAAATTTAGAGTTAAAAACACATGCAATCAGTCCTAATTATCCATGGCAACATGGCAAATGTTAACCCAGGGATGCTTCTCATCAAGCGGCAGTCAGAATTCAATGTGTGAATTTGGAATTGAAACTCATTTCACTCTCACACAACATAATTATGAGGTAAATTTTCTGGAAAAACAATGCATGTAATAGATTCTAAAGTCAAGTGGAAGTGATTTTTAAATTATTTGCTATTTTGGGTTATTCAGAGTGACTAAATGTTGATTTTATAGTTACATCATCATATATTTGAAATGAGTAAAAGAATAAATGAATTTATATAAAGTGAAACATTAGACTGGGGTGGTAGCTGGCTGCAAATAGAAAGGTGGGGCAGTTCAATATATAAGCTTTCATTTCTAGTATAGCTTTATGTTTTAAAATTTATAAATGTTATATATATATGTGTATGTGTGTGTGCACATGTCTGTGTTTGTGCGTGTGTACAAATAAATTTCAGGCTAAAATGTACCTGATAGATTATCAGGTCCAATCCTTCATTATTATGGGCTTAAATATTCTTTCCTTTACCATTAATCATACACTGATGAAAATCGCTGTGTAAAGTGTGGCTAAGGTACCTTAGCCGTGAGAGGTCCTGGGTTTTGACCAAAGTCACAGTATTGATTGAGGGTGGAACTGGCATGGCTCTTGACTCACAGTACTGGCCCCCTAAGAAACATACATCTCCATTTGTACCATTAGGTAATTCAAACCGATTCGCTTAGGACTATTTGAATAGATTATTTCTCTATCAAGTAATTTTTACTTTTAGTATCATTTTTAAAATTTTCAGTACCATTTGAATTACTTTTTTATTGTCTTCTAAAATTACCTGTTACAAAAAAGGCAAGAAGTTTAGGCCATGTTTTCCAACACTGTATGTATAATGATTTGAATTTTAAAACCCTAATATTTGAAGGAAGTATTCTTGGGCTCCAGATCTGTCTTTATTCTCTGGCTTACGCAACTATGGAAAAATTACACTTGTAAGTTCAGCATCCTAAAAATATGTGTTTTAAATATGCTATAAGAATTTGTCACTTTTTATGGATTTTTTGAAACCAAAAGAATATGTCTTCATTTCCTGTAGGGACGCAAACACAAAAGTGACTGTTGACACCTGATTTCCCTTTGGCAGATGACCAGATAGAATCAGCATTAACAATGTGCAGAAAATGCCAAATGTGGGGGAAATGACAAATGTGTCAGGTGATTTAATATTGAGTAAAGATAAAGGTTAACAGAAATGATCTTTTCTTCTCCGTTTGCAAAATAAGTTAAAAGTGCTTTTGCCTTTGTAAAATACTTTACAAAGTATGCTTTAAAATGAAGATAGTGGTTTTATATATGTTCTGTAAAAATACCGTTATATACCTGATAATCACAAAGCAATTTTGATCAGTATATGTTTAGTAGTAATGGGAGGCATTTAAACCCCAATACTTGGGGAAAAACTAAGTAATTATAATCAGATGATGAATTTCTTCAAGTAGGTTGAGCAATCATAATCAAACCTGAGAATATTTTAAGTATAAACTCATAACCAGGAGCTTGAGAACAAAGTCACTCATTCCATTTCTTGTTGGCCTGTTGCCATTAATACTGGTGTTCCTTGCTCTCAAGGAGTCTTGGTGACTCCTTGTCACCAGGGAGTTTAATGGCAGAGGATGGTGGATTGGCATGAACTGAACATCATGACCACCGACGAGAGTGAACTGAATAGTTTTTCCCTCTCCTTTTTAATGAGGATATCTTTATAACA
This sequence comes from Homo sapiens, assembly GCF_000001405.40. NCBI lineage: Eukaryota > Metazoa > Chordata > Mammalia > Primates > Hominidae > Homo > Homo sapiens. Next base: position 88,459,548 of record NC_000005.10, on the reverse strand, counting down.
TCCTCCTAATTTAAAAAATATTAAATAGCCAATGAAGATAATTTTTAAAATGCAGAGAAGCACAAAGGAAAGATTCAAAAAAATTTTTTTTTAATCACCACTAATCTGACCACCTAAATATAATCCCTACTAAGATCTTGGCATATCTTTACTAGTGCTCCAGACTGTTTTATTTCTCAAATTATTCATAATGTCAGCAGATTAATTTTATTCTTTGGCATTCTGTTTTTCTTTTCAAATAAGGATACCAAGTAAAGTAAGAATAATTAAGGAAGAAGCATCTAGTTTGTTTTTATGAATAAATATGTTCATTAGAATAAAGCGTTATAGAGGTTATAAAAAGTATCTTTTGTCAGTTTGGCATAGGATGTATAATATTGAATGAATCGTTAAATTAGCTGTAGTCTACTAAAAAACTTATATATATATATATGATATATCTATATCTATATATACATATATAGATAGAATCTGAGTTATGATTCTGGATGTAATCATAATCTTAGAACAACCAGCACATTTCTTTTTGTGAAAGTTTTTATTCTCAGTCATATCTACAAGGTTTGTTTCAATATCTTTCTTTTTTTTAGCTTTAAGTTCAAGGTACATGTATCTTCCTTTTTTTAACTTTAAGTTCAAGGGTACATGTGCAGGTTTGTTACATAGGTAAGCTTGTGTTATGCAGGTCCAATATATTCTTTAGCAGCCTACTAAATACCAGAGACATTGAGGTTGGCTTGAAATTGGCAAAAAGTTATAGGCCCATTTTATCTCCTAATAAAAAAGTTTTGATGCCATTCTTGGATCAAATTGTTAATTTAAATATGATATGGCAATGTTTAGTAAAAAGCATGAATTAGGAAACATTACAAAAATTTTTCTTTTTACTTTTTTTATTATACTTTAAGTTTTAGGGTACATGTGCACAACATGCAGGTTTGTTACGTATGTATACATGTGCCATGTTGGTGTGCTGCACCCATTAACTCGTCATTTACATTAGGTATATCTCCTAATGCTATCCCTCTGCCCTTCCCCCACCCCACAACAGTCCCCGGTGTGTCATGTTCCCCTTCCTGTGTCCACTTGTTCTCATTGTTCAATTCCCACCTATGAGTGAGAACATGCGGTGTTTGGTTTTTTGTCCTTGCGATAGTTTGCTAAGAATGCTGGTTTCCAGCTTCATCCATGTCCCTACAAAGGACATGAACTCATCCTTTTTTATGGCTGCATAGCATTCCATGGTGTATATGTGCCACATTTTCTTAATCCAGTCTATCATTGATGGACATTTGGGTTGGTTCCAAGTCTTTGCTATTGTGAATAGTGCCGCAATAAACATATGTGTACATGTGTCTTTATAGCATCATGATTTATAATCCTTTGGGTATATACCCAGTAATGGGAAGGCTGGGCCAAATGGTATTTCTAGTTCTAGATCCCTGAGGTATTGCCACACTGACTTCCACAATGGTTGAACTAGTTTACAGTCCCACCAACAGTGTAAAAGTGTTCCTATTTCTCCACATCCTCTCCAGCACCTGTTGGGAAACATTAAAATTTTTTTTAACAGGGAAAAGGAATACAGACTGCTCAGCCATAACAGCTGTTAACAATGGCTAAACAGAAAGATATGGTAGAGCACTACTCAAATGTGGAGTTAGGGAATGAGAATAAAACCCAAATAAATAGTTTCTGAGATACAGTGAAAGCACGAATGAACTGATTTTAACCATGGAATAACTGAATTTGTTAGTAAACAAGGATTTTTCTAATGAGTTTATTGTACGTAAAACTTTGTTCTGCGCTTTTTCTATCCCTGATAAATAAGACTTCTCACTTTACTACCCAATTTTCATGGACACTAAACAGTATGAAACACACACACACAAAAACAGACACACACACACACATTTTTGCAAATCCTTTCTTTACTACTTTGAAGAGTAACACTGTAAGTCAATCGTCTTTATAAACTGGAACATTATGAATGGGGATGTTCCCATAATAGAGATATGAAATAGGTTAATAATTTCATATTAGATGCTATTGCTCTTCTGGGCAGGTATATTTCTTAGCCAATAACACAAAATCAAGAAACACATCCAAACCAAGAACATATTTTGTTGCTGTCTTTTAGGAAAGGAAGTATTCTTTCTTTTTCCTGGAATTAATTTCTTGACTCACAGCTGGAGTAACTTCCATTTTTATTTCCCAAAGCCTAAAACAAATTCCACACGTATTTTGGATCAGAATACAAGCATTTTGAAAAATCTATATAAACCAGCTGTTTACATGCCTCTTTTTTGTTTCATTGTTTACCTGCAAGAGGGTTTTTACATAGACCCAGGAATACAGAGAGAATTCTCTACAGCCAAATCTAGCATATCCTGTGGTACAATATTAGAAGAAAAAGTACATATTGTTCTCAAGATCAGATTCTTTAAAGCTGATACACGATGATAATCTGATAATAAATATCAAAATGAAGCTCTACATTTTTTTGCATTATACAGATCATACAGCTATATTGTGCATTTTGAGATTAACATAACCAAATATATAATGATGTCAGCAACACTACAATGTTAAACATATAAAAAATATTCTGGTTGCATTTACTCTCTATTTGGATATACAATGCTAGCATCAATTTTAAGATGCTATATTTTTTGTTACCAGAATACGTCTCCACAAGCAGCCAGTGTTTAGACAATAAAGCATCATATCAGTGTGTGTGTGTATCATTATATAAGTTAAACTCATATTTACTGATTTTGCAAAGGATTTTAAAATTATAATGACAATTTCTTAGATTATATGCATGCTGATTTTCCCCCTAGTATTCTTGTTCTCTAATCATATAAGTAGAGTTTTATGTGATGTACAATAAAATATGTGCTATAAAATCAGCAACAATTCTTACATCTTAATAATACCATAGTTTAACACAAAAATCATGCTTTCTTCCTTCTCCATTCCCTGAAAGCCACAAAACTCTATTAGTTATCTGAGTACATCTGCAGGAAGCAAGATAGGTAATTTTTAGAGGTATTCCAAATTGTAATGGCACAATTGGAGAGATTCTGTTTGAAAAACAGTAAGAAACTTAATTTCTGCAAGTAACTCTCTTGGACTCTCATTAAGCCAAAGCCTACACAGATTTGAAAATAAATAAATGAGTAAATGACCAGAATAGCCATGAAGTTTATAACTATCAACTAGGAGTCAGATAACCTGAATATGAGTTCTAGATGAAGAAGGGGTTGTGTACATTGATTGTGCTTGGCTCTATCCCAGGTGTTTGGTTTATCCTCACATCCTTATAGAATATGCATTACATGTTCCATTTAACAACTGTGCAAACAGAGACCCTGTGGTTTGATGTAACTTACTCCTAGTGACTGTGCTAGAATGAGCACCTGAATTTGCAAGCAAGGTCCATCCTCGATCCATTACAACATACATTCTCTGGCTCCATCACTTGCATTGAACTTCTTGCCTATTAGTTTCCTCATGTGTGGAAGGGAGAAAAGAATGCTCAATTACACATCTCCTAAGGTTTTCAAAGAATCAATTGCAATGTAAAACAACCTTTAAAACTATGTGGCCCCCTACAAACTTAAGGATTAAGAGTATAAAAAGCTAGGAGTTATTAGCAAGAAAAGCCAGAACCCACATTTCATCACAGTTCCTTTTTCCTTTTCTCCCTTTCCATTTATTCCTCTAACCCCTCTCTTCTGATTAATCTCTTCCTGCCACACTGAAAATTCTTGTTTCTGGCTGTTTAAAGTTGCCCAACAGGAGAACTGAGCTTAGATCCTAGGATATGCCCTCTTGTTTTCCTTCTATTTCATCTTCAACTCTCTGTAACAGGAGTTTGATTCAATTAGGAAAAGTGCATCTCTTCCTCTAAAGATGGCTAAATGAGTGAAAATAGGTTGGTGTCTTTGTTCAGTCAACAGCTTGTACAACTATATTTGGCCAGTGAACAATGCGTTGGCAAAGTCACCAATGACCTTTTATTGGCAAAATCCAATGGACACTTTAAAACTTCACCTTGTTTAAATTCCTTGTGACATTTGACAATGCCGAGAATTCCTTCACAGAACAAATCTCCCCTCCTTAGTGAAGCTGATACCAATAACTCCTGATTCTCTTCCTAAAGTTCTGACAGTTTCTCTTAGTTTTCTTCACAGGCTCTTCTTCCTCTAGCTTCTTCTAGGGTCTATCTGTGTAGAGAGCTCTTTTTCCTCACTACATACCAATAATGAGCAACCCATAAGTGACACTACATGAGGCTTGGGCTAAGACCTATAGCAGACTGAAATCTCTGAATGTGAGGAAAAACTCAAACCCAGCCCTTGGTAGAAGAGGTAGGATGCTCTGGGAGTGAGGCATTAGTGCTGCACTTGTTTTCTTGGTTCACCCCACTATGCACTACTCTATCCATTACTGTCTGTCCTAGAGAAGCCATAGGGCTGTAGTATGGAGACAGTTGGTGGTGACAAGGGGCATCTCATCCATGTTCATAACTAACACTTGTCACAAGGCCTGGTACACAATAGGTATTGGGGGACTATTTCATTGAATTGAATGAATGATGTTAACCGTACCACTTTGAGGTGCTGAGTGACCTCAGAAAAGTCACTTCACACTCTCTGGACCTCAGATTCTCCATGTGTAAAACAGAGAAAATAATAATAACAATGCTTTCCTGGAAATTTAATTTTAAGGCTGAACAAATATTTTTGAACCCTGAGGTGTTATGCAGATGTCAAGGTTAAAAGATTAGGGAATTACCTCCATGTTACTAATAAATGTGCCTAGTTATTACTAATTTGATGACTGAAAGAAAATGTTTGATTTTTTCATTTATAATTTTTTTATTCAATAAAACAGATAACCTAAATGTAGAAATTCACTTTTTTTCCTAAAGAATTTAATTAAATTAGTTTAATCTTGAATTGAAAATTACACCCAATTAATAGTTCTCTGTTTCTGGAATTTAATTAATCAGAAGTTGAAAAATGTGCCCACCTCTGTTTCATTGCTTCCCTGAGTGATACATGGAGCTCATGGCTTCAGCTCCTACTTCTTTGCAAATGACTATGGAACTATTGCAGTCTGACTTTTGTTCCCATAAATTCTCTGAACTGTTCTTATCAAGATGACCAAAACCTCCTTTTTGCTAAATCCAGTAGACACTTTTAGCCCTCTCTTACTTGACCATCTTAGCAGGATTTGACACAGTCAACCATCTCTCCTCATTGAAATGTTTGTGTAGCTTGGCATCTGTGACACTCTACTCTCCTGATTTTCCTTAACATTTAAAATTTTTCCCTCTCAGTTCTTTTTCTGCATTAATTATTCTTTGGAGTTATGTTCTTGGCTTTTTCCCCGTCTACATTTACTACTCAGGTAATCTCATGCACTCTTAGGCTTTTACTCATGATCTACATGTGGGTTATTCCCAAGTCTTTTCTCCAATTCAGGCCACTCTTCAAAGTTTCACACCCAAATATTGAGATGTCTTTTTTTGTTTTTGAAAAAAACAGCCAGATGTTCACAGACAATTTCAACTCAACGTGTTCAGCATTGAACCATCATCTTTCCCTTCCTCAGATATTCTTCCTGTTGTGTTCCTGGTTTAATGAACGAGTCCATGTAAAAGGGCTCATCCATGAAAGGTTCATGCATGAAAAAGACAGCAGTCTAAGTGTCTTAAGTAGAAGGAATATAATTTAGGGCCTCTGCACATGATGTTCCTTCCATCTGAAGTCCTTCCCCCACTCCCCAACTCCTGCCATGCTGCTATCTTTGTTCAGTTAATTGTTACTAATCCTAAGGTTTCTGATTTAGGTGTAACCTAATCCTGGAAAATTCCTTGACCCTCAAAGTCTGAATAAAGGGCCCTTCTTATACATTTTGTCAGAAATCAGTCATAGATACTTTTCTATCACAGATGCTCATCATATATCATATTGTATTGTAATTGTAAGTTTGTCTGTCTCACACACTAGGCTTTAAGCTACATGAAGGCAGGAACCATATCTGTTGTACCTGTCTTTGTACTCACAATCCTTAATACAATGGCAGGCATAAGCCATTTCATGCGTCTACCTGCATCCTTGCTGTTTGAACTGTCTCCCTTACCTTCCCAGTGGCACGCATTTTCTCAACATTCCTGAGTCAGCTCTGGTGTTACTTGCACTATACTTTTTTTCTTGACCTGAAAGGTAGAATGCATTCCTTTCTCCTTTAAAATCCATGCCCTTCTTGAAGATTGTTTACAAGTAGCAGAAATGGATTTCAACTATTTTCAGTGAAAGTGAGGCTTTATAATGCAGATATAAGCAGGTATGCTCAGATACAGCCATAGCATTGGCTAAAATCTTGAAACATTTCCATAATAGTTGCTAAATAGCCACGACCTGTGTTCCTACAAGAGCCAGCCCAGCCACTGCAGCCACTCTCCCTGGATCTCTCTGTACAAACAGAAACTAACTACCAGGAGATCCCCAGTATCTGCTCCAGCACCATGGATAGTGGTCATGAGGCCCTGGAGCATGGAAATATCTCTATTAATCCAGAAATACATGGTCTCAGACCTCTTCTTCTCTCTGCATATCTGCTCATATTTTTTATTCTTTGTCCATAGACTTTTATGTATCTTTAAGTACAAGAAGGCAAATGTAGCTACCCCAACTTCCTATTCCTTCCCAACACCTACAGAGACAGCATCTGTGATTGTTAATTTTTTAAACATTTGTATTATATAATTTATTTTTTCCTTCCTTTATGACACGTTATTGAATTTTATCATACAGAGGCACAATAGGAACTCCTAAGCCAGTGAGGGAAACTGTCTAGTAAACAGATCATTGCAGTTCAGTCTAAGTGGTACATAAAAATATGGACACAGTATCATGGGAACACAAATAAGGAATTAACTTTGCATGGAGGATTGAGTCCTGGATTAAAGATCTAGGCAGCATAGGGTTAGATTCAGGCCTGTTAGTGTAGGCCTGAACCCAAAATGCAATGACCAAGAGGGAAAGAGAGCTCTAGTCAGTCTAAATCTCACGTATTCTGTGCCTTACTCTGTTATAGAAAGAACTTTTACTTTTCCGTGCTAGCCCATCTCTATAGGGGTGAAAGCAGTTACTAAAGGTGTTTCGAATTTCTTTTATGGTTAAAATTCCTTCGATGTTAGCTTTGCCAACTGAGAAATGAGAACACATGGCAGCACTCACTCATTCATTCCACAAACACATAATGAAGTCTCCTACGTGCCAGTCATGATGCCGGGAATTAGTGGTTTATGAACAAGTTAAAATCCAATGTGACTGCTAATTTAAATTCCTGGGAGAAAAAGTCTGGCTTAAAATGGGTGTCAATCCTGGACTATTCACCGGTGACCACAGAGCAGGGTCACACATTGCAGAAATAATTGCATGTGTCCAACTCTGTACCTGGAGTAGATAGTTCCCAGAGAAAGGGACATGTGCTAAGCTCCCACCAAAAGGCATCTTCTTTACTCCCCTGAACACAGCCTAGGATGCTAAAGCAGCCTAAAGTACTCTTTTACACTTACTGCTATATATATATATATATATATATTTGTGTGCGTATATATATTTGCATATATATATTTGGAGACAGAGTCTCATTCTGTTACCCAGGCTGGAGTGCAGTCGTGTGATCTTGGCTCACTGCAACCTCAGCTTCCCAGGCTCCAGCCATCCTCCCACCTTAGCCTCCCAAGTAGTGGGACTACAGGTGTGTGCCACCATGCTTGGCTAATTTTTGTATCGTTTTGTAGAGACCAGGTGTTTCCATGTTGCCCAGACTGATCTGGAACTCCTGAGCTCAAGTGATCTGCCTGCCTCGACCCCTCGAAATATTGGTATTACATGTGTGAGCCATTGCTCCTGGCCATAGATTATTTTTCTAATAGACTGTAAGTAGCTTGAAGCGGGGACTATGACTTATATTTTAATATCCCCAGTGGCTAGAACAGCACCTCACACAAATAGGTGATCAGTAACTGTTCATTTAACACATAAATGAAAATGATAGAGGGGGAAAGCAACTAGAAACAATCATCTAGTCTATTTTTCTTGTATCTGTGTTCCAAACAGCACTAATACTGTAAGACACTCTACATCAGGAATAAGCAAATTTTTTCCATAAAGAGCCAGATAGTAAATATTTTAGGTATTTCAGGCCACATATGGTCTTTGTTGCATATTCTTCTTTGTGTTATTTTTTACCCTTTTAAAATGTAGAAGTTATTTTTAGCTCATGGACTAGATAAAAACAGGCAACAGGTGGAATCTGGCTCATGGGCCATAGTTTACTGCAGGCTGCTTTACATCATAAAATAAGTTTGATGTGGTAGACAGAATAATGGCTCCCAAAGATGCTCATACCCTAATCCTGGGGACCAGAGAATATGTTACCTTTCATGGCAAAGGGGAGTTTACAAATCTTATTAAGTTAAAGATCTTGAGGTAGGGGGGTGAGCCAGATGGCACCAATGTAATCACAAGGGTTCTTATGAGAGGGAGACAGAAGGACTAGAGGCAGTCAGAGACAGATTTGAAGATGCTCCACTGCTGGCTTTGAAGATGAAACAAGGGCCCACTAGCCCAGGAATGCAGGCAGCTTCCATAAGCTGAAAAAAGCAAGGAAAAAGATTCTCTCCTAAAGCCTCTAAAAGGGTTGTAGCCATGAAGACCCATTGTGTACTTGTGAATTCCAAAACTGTAAGATAATAAATTTGTATGGTTTTAAGCCAGTAAATGTGTGGCAATTTGTTACAGCAGTAATTGAAAACTAATATATTTGGGAAGTATAGTAGAGTATATTCCTCTTCTTGGATATTCATTATGTATATTACAGGCTCTAAGAAATCCTGATAGAGAAAATTGTTTCTATTTATTTCACAGAGAATTTTTCAAAGTCATTCTTAGTGGACACTTGTTTTGGCTGTCCAGCATAAGTTCTATCTGTATTCCAGTTATTTTTTATGGAACTCCTTCCTCCCCAATCTCACTGCATGTGGTTGGGAAGGAGCTGACCTCAGGTCTAGAAATAGGCATGTGATTTATATCAATAGCATGTGGTGGACACATGATCCATTTCTAGTGAATGGAAAGCAGGCCAAGAACGTTTCCAGAATTTACTAGGGAAGAAGCCTTTTCTTTCCAAAAATGCTATTAAGACAATGGGAAGGAGATTGAAACTGTTGGAAGCACCTGGCTTGTGAAAGGGGCTGACAAAGATGCAGAATCCGGAGATGAAAAGCACCAACTTGTATTAGTTTTCTGTTGCTGCTGTAACAAATTACCACAGACATAGTGGCTTAAAGCAACACAAATTTGTGATCCTACAGTTCTGGAAGTCAAAGTATGTTATAGGTCACTAGAGTAAAATCAAGGAGTGGGCAGGGCTGTGTTTCTTTCTGGAAGCACTAAAGGAGAATCTAATTTCTGCTTCTTTGGGTTGCTACTGTAGGACCAAGGCCCCATTTACTTTCTGCCTGTTCAATTGAGGGTTGTTCCCAAGTTCTAAAGGACACCACATTCCTTGGCTTGTGTCTCCTTTCCTTCATTTTCAAAGTCATCAACAGTGGGCTGAGGCCTTATCATGTCCATTTCTCTGACCAACCCTTATGTATTCCTCTTTCACTTTTAAGCACTTGTGTGATTAGATTGGGCCCAGGATAATCTCCTTAACCCTTAATCACATCTGCAAAGTCCCTTTTGCCATATAAGGTAGGATTTCACAGTTTCTAGTGTCAGGGCATGAACACCTTTAGGGGAACATTATTCTTCCCGTGATACAGGTACCAATGATATTCAAGCCACAGAGTCACCTAGGCCAATGGCCCCCTCTACCCCTACACTTTTCAGCTATCTGAGAGGATAATCCCCATTTTTTAGTTTAGCTAGCTTGAGATAGGTATTTCATAATGTGTAGCTTTAGGAAACCCTAACTAAAACATAATTGGACTAGAAACTCTTGCATTAAAAAAAAAAAAAAGTCGGGCATGGTAGTTCATGCCTATAATCCCAACAGTTTGGGAGGTTGAGGTGGGAGAACTGCTTGAGATCAGGAGTCTGAGACCTGCCTGGGCAACATGGTGAGACCCTGTCTTTACAAAAAATAAAAATAAAAAATTAGCTGGGCATGGTGCCATACACCTGTAGTCCCAGCTACTTGGGAAGCCAAGGCAGGAAGATCACTTAAACACAGGAGGTCAAGGCTTCAGTGAGCCATGTTCATGTCCCTGCACTCTAGCTTGGGTGATAGAGTAAGATCTTCTCTCAAAACCAAACAAACAAAAAATTGTGTGTATTTCTCTCAAAGAGCTGGTGTTCCAAAGCATACTCTGGGGAGTACTTATTCCCCAGCTTTCTAATTTTATAAAAGAAGCCAAAACCTAAAAAAAGAAAAATAGTTTTCCTAAAGTCACAAAACTAGTTCATTTCAGAATCAGTCGTGAATATCCAAATTCCAAACTCCCACTACAATGTTTGTCAGTACATGAAAAGTTCTTATTTATTTTTTTTGAGATGGAGTTTCACTCTTGTTGCCCAGGCTGGAGTGCAATGGCACTATCTCGGCTGACTCCAACCTCCACCTCCTGGGTTTAAGCTATTCTCCTGCCTCAGCCTCCCGAGTAGATGGGATTACAGGTATGCACCACCATGCCCAGCTAATTTTGTATTTTCAGTAGAGACAGGTTTCACCATGTTGGTCAAGCTGGTCTCGAACTCCTAACCTCAGGTCATCCACCCTCCTTGGCCTCCCAAAGTGCTGGCATTACAGACGTGCACCACCATGCCCAGCTATTTTTGTATTTTCAGTAGAGACAGGTTTCACCATGTTGGTCAAGCTGGTCTCGAACTCCTAACCTCAGGTCATCCACCCTTCTTGGCTTCCCAAAGTACTGGGATTACAGGCGTGAGCCACCATGCCCAGCAAGTTTTTCTTTTATTATAAATGTCTAGTTTTTCCTACAGTAGCCAACATCAGCACCTCCTTCTATAAAGACATGCACAGTCTCCATTTGTGCCCAACAGGCTAACATCTGGATTTTATTTGCTATCAAAACTACTGCCTTTCTGCCTATCTAGAGTAAGTCAACTCACTACTTGTTTGGTGGACTAATCATTTATTTACTCATTCATTCATTAACAGAATTACTTAGCTGCACTAATAAACCAAATTATCTCATAGTTGTTAAACATTCATTAAACTTTTACAAATTAGTATATCTTTTCTTTTTAAAGAAATGTTAGAAATGTTTAATAGAAATATTGCGTTCTTTCTGCAGACAACTGTTTGTTACTGTTTTAGTTCCTGACAACCTGGGCCAAGGTGACCTTGTTCAGTTCCTAGTGGGAAAATGCATCCTTTTTCCTGGCAAGGGTGAAAGAATGTACATTGGAGAAGGATTTCTAATTTCTGGGACTGAGAACAGCTTAGTCTCATAAGTCACTCATGACTAGCTCAAGAGGTGTCTGTGGTGTTTGATTCTGTTCCCAGCTATCAGCAATGGATTAAAGAAATGAAGTAGCATTAGCATTAAATGACTTAAGATTTTTCAGTGTTAACTTTTGTGTAAAACAGTATGCTTACAAATTTCACTTTATATATTTGTTTAATCAGTTTTTGAAACAGCAGAAGTAAATATGTGCTGCTTTGTGTTTTTCTCTCCTCCTACCTTCTTTGCTCTGCACCATGTGAGCCTAAGTGTATCCCTATGCTGGGCTCCTTTCCCAGCTGGCGAACTCAGTACCCCAAGGCCTCCTTTTCATCTTCTCCAGTGTTGGTTGAAGTCTGGTCCAGGGTAAGGTCTGTGGGACCATCTGGTATGGAGAGAAAGAAGGGTTGCTCCCTTCAGATCTCTTCAAGAAATTGCTGTGATTTCCCCACTCAGGCCAGAATCCACTGTGAGAGTGCATTTACTTCTTTCCTTGTCTATTCAGAGCTACTGCCTCAATTCTAGAAAGTATTTTTTTTTTAAAATATTTCTAGATTTTTTCCATGAAATGGAGATGAAATGCACATGCTTTTGCTGATATATGAGGCTTTGCTTTTCCCACTGTGGCTAAATTTTTAAAATAAGATAGGTGTAGTTTTATTTCCATTTTCATGTTAGTAGGGGTAAAATTGTGTGTGTGTGTGTGTGTGTGTGTGTGTGTGTGTGTGTAATCTATCTATCTACCAACTATCAAACATCTATTTGTCTATTTTCTCATGGTTAACAAAAACTAGGCTCCAGAGTCAAACTACCCAAATTTAAATATTTTAAATTCTTATTCTACTACCAACTAGCATCATAATTTTTGCCAGGTTATTCAACTTCTATATTCCTTATCTCTCTCATCTGTATAATAGGGCTAACATAAAATGATTTACTCCTAGTAATGAAATGAAATAATGCACATGGAATGCTTGGACCAGCATCTGATATACAGTAAGCACTTTAAAAAGTGTTAGCTACTATTATTATTGAAGTAAACTGTGTGTCTATGTGAACCAAGGAAAGAGATAAATTCTAGGCAGAACCAAAGGGAAGGGTAAAGCGAAGAAAAGTAGATATATCTAGGTTACTAGGAAGAAAAGGAAGAAGCTTAAGACTTCAATTTTTTCCCTCAATCAAACCACAAGAAGCTATAGCACATCCTTGCAGTAAGCCTCATCTTTAGGCTTTTCCATACAAGGGGATTATATTCCATAGCTTGAAAATACTAGATTGAGGAATTCTCCTGGTTAAGAAGTTTTCCAAGTACTAATTTGGTTACCTTGCTATTATTTTTACCATTATTTCTATGGAGAAAAACATATTACAGATTACAAACAAACAAAAGTAGAATAACTTTTGAAATGAGCGCCATCAGTAAACTTGGATAGCCTAGAGAGCATATTTTTGGTTGATGAAAAGAAAGGAATGTAGGTGTCCCATTGATGATCATGTTCTTGTTACCATCAAGCTGTATGTTTTCTGAAAAAAAGAAAAATAAAAATGAATTTTACTTTAGTCTTTAAACCTTTTTTTAGAGACAGAGTTTTGCTCTTTTGCCAGGCTGGAGTACAGTCACGCAACCATAGCTCACTGTAATCGCAAACTCCTGGCCTCAAGTGATCCTCCTGCCTCAGCCTCCCAAGTAGCTAGGACTACAGGCAAGTGCCATCATGCCTGGTTATTTTTTTTTAATTTTTGTAGAGATGGGGTCTCACTATGTTGTCCAAGGCTGGTTGGTCTCAAACTCCTGGCCTCAAGAGATCCTCCTGTCTCAGCTTCCCAAAGTGCTGAGATTACAGGTTTGAGCCACTGTGCCTGGCCAAAAACGATTTTTAAATGTTAATTTAATTTCAAACATGGGTAGAAGTAATATCTTTACTAACAAATTGTAAATTAAATATTTCATTGTATTTGTCTTTCTTGTGGAATAATAAAAAACAAACTTTTCTTCAAATGAGAATTCTTACAAGTTTATAGTGAATCTGGCAAGAAATGTTTCAAATTTTAAACACATGAGAAATCCAGGGGGTGTTTATCAATCATGGTACAAATATCTGAGGAAATAATTATTCCAAAAGTGTACAGTTACAGCCGATAGTAATTGCTACACAATGTAAATTGTTGTTTCCTTAAATTTTTAAAAAAGATTTTGCTTTCAGAAAAAATATAATTTAATTTTTTGGTTAATATATCTTGATATTTACACAATAGACAATAGTATCTTTAACAAAGAAGAACTTAATTGAAATGCCAAAAAGTTCAACCATTTAAATTATTTTCAATTTTATGCAAATAATAATGAAACTGTACAGAAAGTTAAAGTAGAAAATGTTTTTAATACAGTACCTCATAAAAAGTCTCAATCATATTTTATACTATTGAACAGTGTTTATTTATTTTATCTCATTGGATAGATGCAGATGAGATGGGATAGATTGTGTTTCTAAAACGAGAACACTAAATCAGCAAACAGCAAAGCCATCATCGCGGTATCCCTTTGGAGTTGCAATCCCTGAGTTTCATCTTGACTAAGACTCTTCCACTGTTGTAGCCAGCCCCTGAGATGGCCTCCAGTGATCCTTGTCTCTTGGTATCCTATGTTGATTCTTTTCACATTGAATAGGGCTGACTTGTGCAACAAATAAGGTATTGTGGAAATGACAGAGTGTGACTTCTGAAGCTAGGTCATAAAAATCATTGAAACTTCTATCCTTTTCTCTTGTATCATTTGCTTTGGGAGGAAATAGCTATTGTGAGGACACTCAAGCACCCTATGGTGAGATCAATGTGGCAAGGAATCCTTTCAGACTTGAAAGACCCTGAGCCAGAACCACCCATCCAAGCCACTTCTGAATTCCTGACCATAAAATCACTATGATAAAAAAAGTTTGTTTGTTTTAAGCTGTCAAGTTGGAGAAAGTTATTACATAACAAGAGATAACTAACATCCTTATCTTCAAACACCTGGATTATGGCTCATCTTTGGCCACGGTTTCTTCCAGCTACTATTCATATAATTGTTGGTAATATCTCCCAGATTGCAGTGATGCTTGCCCTTCATAATGCCAAATGTCTTCCACCAATCTCTAATTTTTTATTAGCCTTCAGCCTGTATTTCCTCCTTCTTTTCTTGAAGTCTCACACTTTAATAACATCTAGCCTGATATAAAATTTAGGTGAAACTTCCAGGACAGCCAGTTGTACATTCAGTCTCTTATTATTGCTCAAAATTACTGACCAGAGGAAAATTAATGATAAAATCAAACAAACAACATAGCAAAGTGCCACTGAAGAAAACAAGAATGATACCTGAATGCTCACTGGCTGAAAGCTTAAAATGGTACTAATCGTATGTATTGGATGACCGGCTGTGAGAAAAAGCCATATTTATTTATATTATATTTGAAACAGTCAGGATAGGTTAGGTTGTGCTATAATATAAACAATCCCAAAATCTTAGAGATTTTATAGAACAAAGATTATTTCTTGCTCACACTACTTCTCCATGGGCTGACTTGGTATTTTGCTTCGTATCATTCTCATTTCACATCATCCTAACTTCAGTCTAACTGAGTAGCAGTTGGAGCATTTCCAGTTACCACCACAGAAGGGAAAGGTTATAACAATTTGTACCCAATTTTGCCCAAAATCCATTGACCAAACTAGTCACACTGCCATACCTAATTTCAAAAAAGGGGAGGAAATATAATACTATTGTGTGCACAAGGAGGAGAATATCTGGTGAACAACACATATGCCACAGTATGTATACAAATTTATCCGAAATATTTCTGAGTTGAATAGCACCACATAGGTGATACTATATAAGAAATGCTTATAGGGTGACTTTTTTTCAGGCATAGGTGGGATGGGGTGAGATGAAGATGAAATGAAGTGGAGAGAGTATAGAAGGACCAAAAATGTTGCAAGGACAATTAACTGCGCTTATTTGTTATTTTTGTGTGTTAAAGATCTAATGTCTCATGGCATGGGGAAGAGGAAATGATGAGAGTAACTAGATGTTTGAAGACTCAATAAGTTAATGGATAAACTAATGAAGCATACACTTTTGAGTATCTCATTAGTGGTCTCAGGTGGCTCCAGGACTCTCAAAGTTAAACCAGTCCCTCTAGTAGTCTTTTTGATTAACTGATTGCCTTCCCTGGAATGCTCAGTACCTGTGCTAGGAGTGACCTAGGCTAGTCTGGAATAATTGAACCCATGGGAGATTGTGATTTTTCAAATCTGGACCACAATGAACTTGAGGTCTTTCTCTATAAGTTGTGGCATTTTCTTCCGTTACAGAATTTATGAATGTCCTAACATCACCCATGTGAGATATCTGTCATTAATTCATAAAGATAATTATAAGCATCAAGGTAATCAGAACTTTTCCTAAGAGAATTTGATCCTTAAATTCTCTTTCTCCCACATTTTGCAAAGTAAAAAACAAATTTACTGCTTTGACCAAATAACATGGTGAAAATTTTAAATAAATACAGTCATGCATTGTATAATACTACATAACAACATTTCAGTCAACAGCAGTCAATGTGTAATATTATAATGGAGCTGAAAAATTCCTGTCACCTAGTGACATTGTAACCATCCTAATGCCTAATGAAATGTTTGCATGTTTGTAGTGATGCTGGCATAAACAAACCTACTACATTGTCAGCCATATGAAGTATATCACATACAACTATGTATAGTGCATAATATTCGATAATGATAAATTACTCTGTTGCTCATTTATGTATTTACTATAGTATACTTTTAATCACTATTTTGTGTACTCGTTCTACTTATAAAAAAGAGTTAACTTTAAAACAGCCTCAGGCAGGTGCTTCAGGAGGTATTCCAGAAGAAGGTGCTGCTATCATAGGAGATGGCAGCTCCACACATGTTATTGCTTCTGAAGAACTTCCAGTGGGACAAAATGTGGAGGTGGAAGACAGTGATACTGATGATCCTGACTCTGTGTAGGTCCAGGTTAATATATTCATTTGAGTCTTCATTTTTAACAAAAACGTTTAAAAAGTATATATATAGAGAGAGAGAGAGAAAGAGAGAGGGAGAGAGAGAGAGAAAATTTATAGACTAGGATATGAGAAACATTTTTGTACAGCTGAACAATGTGTTTGTGTTTTAAGCTGTTATTACAAAAGTGTAAAAAGTTGTAAATAATTAAAAATCTGTAAAGCTACAGTAAGCTAAGGTAAATTTATTATTGAAGAGAGAAATTTTTAAGAACAAATTTAGTGTAATCCAAATATACGTTGTTTATAAAATATACGGTAGTTTACAGTAATATCCTTGACCTTCACATTGCATTCACCAAGCTCCCTTCATGGTAGTGCCCTATATGGGGGTATCATTTTTTAAAAATTTTTTAAATTTTTGATTATTTTTGGTTTTTAAGGAGTGGAAAGTTTAATAGGCAAGAAAGAAGAAAGAAGAAAATGGCTCCCCCGTACAGAGGGTGGGGGGCTCCGAATGGACAAATCCCCATTTAAAAAATCTTTTATACCATATTTTCACTGTACCTCTTTTAGATATGTTTAGATACAAAAATACCATTGTGTTACAATTGCCTACAGTATTCAGCACAGTAACATGCTGTACAGGCTTGTAGTCTAGAAGCAACAACCTATACCACATAGCCTAGGTGTGTAGTAGGCTATAACCTCTAGGTTTGTGTAAATACATTCTATGATATCTGCATGATAAAATTATCTAACGACACATTTCTCAGAAACTGTTCATCGTTAAGTGGCACAAGATTGTCATTGCCCACTATAAAATATTTTCCTCTTCAGCTGTTTAATAAACCTGTGTATAACCTTTGCAGTATTACTACTTAATAAGGTATTTTGAGATTTTTAAATGAAGTGTAAAATATCAAATAGGTTTAAAATACGATTACCCTCTGAATAAATGTTATACTGTGTCAAACTATTTGGACCACCAAAAGGTAAAAATAGAAAGAAATGTGTAAGTACCTTGATTTTTTTCTTCCCAATATTTTCAAATCTCTCTGGGACCATTTAAAATAATACTATTTCAAGATCTCAAATTTCAGCATTTCTTACCTATATCATATTTTCATTTAATAACTGCTCTGCTAATGTCTTTGCTTGTCATCTTGCTTTGTACCCAAGATTAAAGTATTGCATGTATATAAATACTGACTGCTCTATCACCTATTTTGTTACAAAAAGGCATTTCAATAGAATGTTTAGAAACATTCTTAAGGTGTTTGTAAATTTAAACTGCTTTCTGATCACAGCTACCAGACTGAGACACTTTCAAAAGTAAGTTATTTATCTATAATTTAAGTTTCAAATAGAAGCAGTCTCACAGTTTTTAGCATTTTATAGTTATTAATATCGTTATGAAATATTTTGAGAACATATTCTAGAAATAAGCAAGTTTTCAGCTTAGGGAAATTATAACTTAAAGCACGACAAACAAGTAATTACAGAACAATCTAAGGAATTACTAAGATGAGGAAGGGATGTTCCCAGAAGGAGAAAGCAATGGAAAGGCATCAAGTGAGGATATGAGAAAGATTTGCTAAGCTAGTTGCCACTGCTCTTTCAGGTGAAGACGTCATTTGAGTTTCACCAAGAAGAGCTGAGTCTCCCATATCAATAGTTGATCATTTTCCCTTATTCTTTGTCTGACCCAGGAAAGCAAATGAAAGCTGACTGGAAATGAAAAGGTGCAGGTTCTAATGTTAAGTTTACCTTACTTGGTCAAGGCCCCTAAGTAAACTGTCACTCATTATTTCTTCATCTCTGAAAAAGAGATGAGACTAGTGGAATTATATAATTTTATAGTTTTAGCACATCACTACCACAATTAGTATTAAATGAGTCAAACAAAAGGAAAACTTAGCCAAAATGAAATGAAGCCACTTTGAGATGAATAATGGCTTTCCATTTCCAATTAACCTAAGGCACTGCAAAATAACCAGATAATATTATCAGCACATAGCTAGTTCACCTGCTGTTCTAGAGTCTAGATTAAGCAAATCAAAAAAGTCTCTGGGCTCTTAGGTCAGATTGCTTTAGATTTAACAACAAAGAGGAGTTTCAAATTTCAAGATGCTAAAGAAAGTGTTTGATATAATAAATGGCTGATTATGAGATTGGGGAAAAGAAAAGGCTTGCTCTGATGAGTAACTATTTCCACCCTTTGTATTTAATTTGTATCATAAATGTTGGTATTTTATAATCTTTTATTTATTTATATTTATTTATTTATTTTACTTTTTCAAGCTAGGAGTAGGACTTCAGTATTTTATAATCTTTTACCTAAAGTTTTGTTCCAAAGTTGTGATAAAAGACCAAAAAAGGTAAAGTCAGTTAAGTATGTAAAAAAAGGGAAAAAAGAGGGTGACAAAAGATAAAAATACAGTCAATTTGAAAGGCAGTATTTCATCCATATGTTAATAATGGTATGAGTTCAGGACTTAGGAAGCAAGATAACTAAATGGTGAGGTTCTACTCCAAATGCTCCAGAATATACAGACACAGTTACAATGAAGTGCAGAACTGAGATTTGGATACAGAGAGTTCTCAATCTTTTTCTCAGCATAGTATTAAGTGACTACCGGCTTGGGGATGCCCTCCCCTTCACCACTCACGTAGACACACACAAAGGAATACTTGGAAACAGAGCAGGGCTTCCAGTATCTCATAAATACAACGACAGATTACCCAAGAATTATACTCTGGATTAGAGGAAACCAAGGATGGAAAATGTTCTTAAAAAGAAAATCCATAAAGAGATATCTGACCCTAACCTCAGCTACCAGAGCTACAGAGAAGAGAAACAAAGACTTTGTTATAAAGAAGACATTAAAACAAACACATGTACAACATTGATAAGCATTTTACTCAAAGGGAGAAAAGAACAGGAAGGGCTGAAAGTCTCCACACAAACCAATCTTTTTGATGAAAACATATTTCCTTTTTTCTTCTGGTCTCCTCTATAAGACAGTGCACAAAGTGCTCATTTATGTTTTCTTTGTTTTCATCCCAAAGCTAGAAGATCAAAGAGTTAATAAAACCTCCTAGCTATAGAAGGTCATTACAAAACTAAATGCAGCAATTCAAAGCGGAAAATAGAATGAATGCCAAGGAGATGTTTAACGAAGTAACAGTCTAGATGTATTCTTTGAAGAACATTTGCAGACTCGTTTGATTGCTTTAGAGCGCACAGGGAACAATGCGGCTGCATGGAGCTAACATTGACTGATGGTTGCATTCTGCCGGACCAAAGCCAGGCCGCTTAGAATCACAAGTATATTTGATATAGAACTACCTAATATAGTGGAAATATTCATGTGTATTTTGCATAGCAAAATAGTATTAAAAACTTCTACCTTTTTCCCCCTTGGGCCTAATTAAATGCCCAAACATAAGACACGAGTCTATTCATTGGAAAAATAATTTGAAGCACTATTTTTCCAAAATCTGACAAAGTTGGGTGGCAAGATAAGGGATTAGCTTAATGCTTCCCATTAGCTATTGAGATCCTCCTTCTTTTTCTTTTTTCTTCTTTTTTTGTTCTTTAGTGCTGACATCCTTATAATGGTAGCAAATACAGAATACAAAAGGGAGGCTTTGGAAATCATCAATATTGCCACATTGATTTATTCAAAAGAGACAGGCTGGTACACTGGTCTTGCATTACAATGTGACATGCTAGAGTTTGCCATTCACTGTATGCTGTCATCTAAATGTTTGTGTTCCCTCAAAATTCTTATGTTGAAACCTAATCCTCAATGCAATAGTATTGAGAGATAGGGCCTTTAAGAGGTGATTAGGTCATAAGGGCAGAGACCTCATGAATGAGATTAGCACTCTCATAAAAGAGGCCAAAAGAAGTTTGTTTGCCCCTTCCTCCGTGTGAGGACCCACCTAGAAGTCACCATCTATGAAGCAGGAAGCAGGCCCTCAGCAGACATGAAATCTCCTGGTGCTTTGATTTGGACTTCCCAGCCTCTAGAACTGTGAGAAATAAATTTCTACTGTTTATTAATTGCCCAGTTGAAGGTATTTTTTTATAGCAGCTCAAATGGACTAAAACACTGCAGCCCTGGGATCTCAGCATTAGGACCCATGAAACAGGTTACTTCCTGGAAAAGAAACAGCAGAACATTGGAGAACATCAGAAGTGCCCATCCTGTTGGTAGGGCCATGGCTATGTGGCAACATGAAGGCCAAATGATAGAGGGTATTTAAGGTCTCCTACTGAAGTCTAATCAGATGATGTTTTTCCCACTATTTGAAAACTTGGGAAAAAATTGTTTTCATGTTGAGGTAAAAGGAGATCTTTCCTAGGGTAATTTGAGGGCAGATTGAAGATTGGCATAGCTAGTAATGATTTTATTCAGGAGAGTGTAATTTAAAAAAGCATAGAAATATTTAAATAGCTGAGATTAAGCTTTAATCAATTAAACTTTTTAATTATTTGGGGCAAATAACTAACGTTTCACTATCAAATGAATCTGTTTTGAAGTACCATTGAAAGTTGTGCTGATGCCAATAACAGTCTTTTTGTTTGTCTTTTTGCATCAGTGGTGCATGTCACCTTCCTGCAAGGCAACTAGTTTGCAGATATGGCCAGAGGGGAAATTACTGGACAACAAAATGAAAAGGGGGCATAAGTCAGCCAGCTCTCTCAATCCTAGGAAAGGAAACTTCCCTCCTGCTTATGAAAGAGGACGATTGTGCCCAGTACCACTTATCCAGTGCCAACAATCTGGTAAACCCTCTATTCAGTGCTACACCAGGGCTACAGAAAGGTGACCTGGAGTTTGGGGCTGAGGTCAGGGAAAGGTCACTGCCTGAAAAATGAAACTAGTCAAAAGAAAAGAATCCTAGGAATGGGTGAGGTTACTCATCCACCAAAGTAACCCAATCTAAAAGATGGCATAGAAAGTATTTTTTTTTTTCTGGTAGTCTAGTGGTTGGGGAAAAAATAAAACAGAAGGAAAAGGGTTTTAAAAAATATATATTCAAAATTCCAAGCCTTTTAAATAATCCTGCTGGACCTTGCAAGCCTGTCCTAGCATGCTTTGAAGTGCAGCCATAAGAATCAGCATTTTGTCACTACCATGCCTACAGACTTTATTTTTTTACTTCTGCTTTTTAGGTTCATCAGTTCCCCTCTCCCCTCGCTGATTTTCCTCCCCATCACCACCACTGCAATTTCAAAACTAAAAATCAGATGTTAGGTATGAAGACACCATTACCCTGTTGTTTGAAACTTGCTCTGAACTAGCTGGTTGACCTTCCCCTCCTCAACATCTTCCTGGTACCTTTCTATAAAGGCAGCGTATCCAACACATGCCAGTATATGGACCTTAGTTGGTCATGGTATACCAGGAGTGCCTGTTTTAAATAACCCCTTTTAAGGTTAGAGGAACTTTAATTCTTGGCATATTTATTTGCCCTTTCATAGCTTTTATCTTTGAGATGTAGATGAGTGCTTACAGGGTGCCTGGAATGGAAAGAGGCTATAGGATGAAGGAGCATGGGCTCAGGGTTGCATATTTTCGGGCTTCCCCACCTCAAAAAAAAAAAAAAATCCGTGACATTTCTTTTCCTGGATGGCAAAATGAAAACATTTCATGAATAAATCTACAAATAAAATGATATCACTTTAAAGATGTGAAAAATCTAGGTGTACTTTGAAAAAGATTTTCATTTTAAATAGGTAGCCAGAAGCAGATATGTGCAATTGAAATGTTTACTATTCATCTGATTTCTTTTTCTAAGAAACACAAAAATCATGACATTAGAAAGAATTCAATTAACTCTCCTCAGTGTGTAGAAGGATGTAGAAGGAGTTTCAACTTCCTTTTGTTTTATATTTGTTGTCAAGAATTCATACAAGAAAGTCAATTTTATACAAAATAATTTTATAAAATTACTTTTAAGATAGTCAATTTCCATAGCTCAACTTCAGTAGGTCATATAACATGTCTTTTAATATGAACTCCTTAGCTTCATTAGTGCATTAAAAATTATTTATCTTGCAAAACAATAAATTAAAAACAGAATTAGGATGTCTTTGGTTTATATAGCCATAGTATTAAGTTAAAATAGTATAATGCATGTTATACAAACAGAAATGTAAATGTGGCCTAAAAGAAAATTTTTAAGTCAGTTTCACATTAAACATTGAATAGAAAAGTTGACTTATCTTAAGTAAAGCAAGTCACTACATCACTCTGCTACAGCAAATGTTTCCTTGTAAATGAGGATGAACTGACAATGCTTGAAAGTATAGTTCATCAAAATCACAAGAAACCAAATATTATGAATGTGTAAAATTCCATGTTTATTTAATATCAGTCACACAGTTTATTGAAACCAATCTTTGTAAAGACAAATAACATGTCTGAGGAACATAAACAATATCATATAGTTGAAATTCATCCTGTATTTTCACCTGAATAAAGATGTCATTACGCAAGAGTTTCAACAATAAAGACCCTGCCTTGAATTGGCATGGCATCTCTCAGAGCTTCAAGGCAGCACAGTCTTTCATCCAACTCTAGAGAGATTATCAACTCTGCATCAGGGAACTTCAGTGATTAGCTTGTCCACACTTAGCTACCATGGAACCTTCCCCCAGTATCTGCATTGGCCTCCAGTGTGGTCGGTGACATGGGCACCTTCTCAGAGCACATATCCAGAACTCGAGATGGGTATTCCTAGGACAAAAAATATGCAGATAATGTAAAAAGGCTCATTCTAGTCACGGAGAAGAATGAGTGTTATACTACTTAATAATGATACCAACGAATATTAATTTTATTGTTATAGTTGCCCATATATATTAAAGTTTACTATGTGCCAGGCACAGTGTTAAGCACTTTACATTCAGTAGCTCATAAAATGGACATAAGAACCCTGTAACTACTAAAATTATCTCTGCTCCAGAGGCCAAGAAACTTGAAAAAGTGATAGAAGCAGGGTACCTTTTGCATCATCAAACACAGCTCAGGTAAGACTAGTAGCTTCCTTCACTCAATGTTGTAATGAACTAATAGTTTCTTAAAAGCCACTCACACCTTTTTTTCTGCCCTGCCTTTCTCTCTTTCTTTCAAATTTATTTTTTAAATTTATATATAAAATGCTATATATTTACTGTGTACATCGTGATGTTTGGAAGTATATATACATTGTGAAATAGTTAAACTTAGCTAATTAACAAATTTATTACCTCATGTATTTACCATTTTTGTGGTGAGAACACTTAACATCTACTCTCTTAGAATTTTCCAAGATACAATCTATCATCATTAACTATAGTTACCAAGCTGTACAATAGACCTCTTGAATTTATTCCTCCGATCTAACTATAAATATGTAGCCTTTAACTAACAAGTTCCCCCCACCCTCAACCACCTAACCACTTAGCCTCTGGTAACTATCATTATACTCTCCACTTTTCTTTCTTTTTTTCTCTCTCTCCCTCCCTCCCTCTCCCTCCCTCCCTCCCTCCCTCCCTCCTTCCTTCCTTCCTTCCTTCCTTCCTTCCTTCCTTCCTTCCTTCCTTCCTTCCTTCCTTCTCTCTCTCTCTTTCTTTATTTTCTTTTTCTTTTTTTTTGTTTTGAGACAGAGTTTCAGTATTGTTGCCCAGGCTGGAGTACCAAATGGCATGATCTCAGCTCACTGCAACCTTTGCCTTCTGGGCTCAAGCAATTCTCTTGCCTCAGCCTCCTGAGTAACTGGGATTACAGGCACCTGCCACCACTCCCAGCTAATTTTTTTTTTGTATTTTTAGTAGAGACAGGTTTTCACCACGTTGGCCAGGCTGGTCTCAAATTCCTGATCTCAGGTGATCCACCCGCCACGGCCTCCCAAAGTGCTGGGATTACAGGTGTGAGCCACTGTGCCCAGCCTTATACTCTCCACTTCTATGAAATCATCTTTTTTAGATTCCACATGTAACAGATCATGTAGTACTTGTCTTTCTGTGCCTGGCTTATTTTACTTAACGTAATGCCCTCCAAGTTAATCCATGTTGTCAGAAATGACAGGATTTCCTTTTTTTTAATGGCTGAATAGTATTCCACTGTTTGTATATATACCACATTTTCTTTATTCATTCCACTGTTGATGGACATTTAGATTGATTCCATATCTTGGCTATTGTGAATAGTGCTGCAATAAACATGGGAATCCAGCTGTATCGTCAACATATCAGTTTCCTTTTTCTTCGGATATATATTCAGTAGTGAGATTGCTGGATCATATTTTGAGGTTTTCGAGGAACTTCCTTATTGACTCTGTAATTGCTGTACTAATTTTAAATTCCATCAAAAGTGTGCAATGGTTCTCTTGTCTCCACATCCTCACTAATACTTGTTATCTTGTTTTTTTTTGATAATAGTCACCCTGATAGGTGTGAGGTGATATCTGGTGGTTTTTTTCATTTGTGTTTCCTGTGTGATTAGTGATGTTGAATGTTTTTTTCATATGCAGTGCAGTACCTGTTGGCCATTTGTATGTCTTCTACTAAAAAATGTCTATTCAGGCCTTTTGCCCACTTTTTAATCAGGTTATTTGTTTTCATACTATTGAGTTGCTTTTATAGAGGCTGGAAAACTAAATTTCTTGATATTCTAGAAAGACTTCTTTCTGCCTTTCTGATAATATTTTTCTTTTTCTTACAATTTTTATATTCCAAACCACAACACAGCTCTCCTTGCAGCCAGGAGTGGCCATATGATGGATTCTGACTAATGAGATGCAAGCTGAAGTTGCTAATTGGGACTCCTAAAAACACTTTTAAAAAGTGATGGACTCATGATCTCTTCACCCTTCTTCTGCCTGTCTCGAATTGTCCATCCTCAGACTTCTTGATACACAAAAAATTTATTTTCGGCTAGGCCATGTTAATTTGGTTTTCCACTACTTGCAGCTGACTGTACTGATTATCTAAAACTGCTTTATAAAGTTTTGTGACTAGGGGGTGGGAGCAATGATCACTAATATTCATTAAGTGAAAGGATAAATGATTGAATTGTGTATCTTAATTGTGGTATATTCTGTACAACATTTTTACAATAAATTAATGTTGAATTAGTTTATTTCTATTTGATACTAAACACTAGCACATCTGAAATAGTTGTCAGTTTTTCCCCTTGCTAAAAGTACACAGATTAAAAAATAAGATAAGCCATCTGGGCCATGTGCACTGAAAGAATGGCTATAGCTCTTGCCCTGATTAGAGGGTTTCACAAACTAGCATTGAACTCACTGGGGGTTCAACAGAGAAGAAAAGGAGGAAATCCAGGAGATAAATTAAGGAATTTTTGGAGAAGGTGAGATACTTAAATTTTATAAATATTTTTCAATTAAATTGAATAAAACCCACTTTCTACTCTCCCCCTGTTAATGATTGAAATCCCATTTCCAACACTTATTGGGTATGTGATCTTAGACAAGGTTGTTTCACCTCTCTGAGGTTACTACATTTTTTAGCCATAAAGTCAATATTCTACAATCCATCTCATAGTATTATTTTTAGGATTAACTAAAACAATGGATGTGAATTGCCTAGTACTGCACTTGACACAAAATATAAAGTTAGCAGACTTTCATTCCCTCTGCCTCCCTGCTACCTGATTCCCCATGGCTCATTTCCATTGACAGAAGAATGATTTTAAAGACATCTGTCTAATCTCCGAAAGCATTTTTCCTTTTCTTACCTCACAGCCCAGTCACTATATAAAGACATCATTTCGTTGGACACAGATATTAGTGAAAACAATGCCTCCAACCAGGGTGTAAGTTTCTTGAAGGCAGTAACCATGACTTAAAATGTCTATGTCCCTTACAGAACTTGAGTTTCTAAAGAATTTCCAACTACACTATCTGAAAAGAAAAGAATTTTGAGCTATTTAATTTTTAAATAATTTTTATCAATCCAAATGACTCCTGTTTTTCAAGGTACAATCTTGTCAGCATTTCACCCAATAAGCACAATGCTTGAGGACCTACAAAGTAGTTCTAAACATAGACAAACCCATATTTTTGATGATAATATGAAGGCATACCAAAAAGAAAAGAATCCCAATATAACTTACAATATAATGGTTGTTTACTATGAACTGTTCACTATGCTAAGCACCTTCATACTTTACCAATCATCCTTTCTAAAACTCTGCAAAGTAGGTGTTGCTAGCTCCATATTATGGAAAGGATAACCAAGGATACAAGACTTGACTAGCACTAACTGCTAAGTGAATCCAGAACACCTTAGCCAGTGTGTGAATTCAGATCTTTTATGTTCCAACGTTTGAGTTCTTTGTACTTCACACACTGCAGAGCAGAAGACACGCAGATTATGAATTTCTGGGGAAGAAAAGTCAAAAATGTCCACATAGTTTGATAGAAAGCAACATTTTGGGATCTTAATTATTCAGATCCATAGCATCAAAATTAATTGTTGTTTATAAAATAAACAATAAAATAACAAATATTTTTAAAGCAACATACAAAGTTCTTATTTAATCTTTACAACATTTCTGTAAGGTAGATATTATTACCTCTTCATATGAATAGATGTTGAAATTCAGAGAAATAAATGACTTTTCTAGATAACAAACCTTGAACCCACACCCTGGCCTCAGGATAAGAGTTCTTTCCACCACACCACAATATTATACTTCCTGTGTTATTTTGCTTGAGTTTCAACGAAAAAAGGATAAAGAAATGGATGAAGGGTGTTATGGTTTGGCTCTGTGTCCCCACCCAAATCTCATCTCAAATTGTAATCCCCATGTGCCAAGGGAGGGACCTGGTAGGAGGTGATTGGATCATAGGGATGGTTTCCTCCATGCTGTTCTCATGATAGTGAGTGAGTTCTCAGAAGATCTGATGGTTTAAAACTGTGGCACCTCCTTCTTTGCTCTCTCTCTCCTGCCATCATGTAAGATATGCCTTGCTTCCCCTTCACCTTCTGCCATGATTGTAAGTTTCTTGAGGCCTCCCCCTCCCCAGCCATGCAGAACTGTGAGTCAATTAAATCTCTTTCATTTATAAATTACCCAGTCTCAGGTAGTTTTTTATAGTAGTATGAAAACAGACTAATACAGAAAATTGGTAGCAGGAGAGAGGTATTGTCATAAAAATAACCTGAAAATGTGAAAGTGACTTTGGAACTGGGTAACAGAGGTTGGAACAGCTTAGAGGGCCCAGAAGAAAACAGGAAGATGTGCGAAAGTTTGGAACTTCCTAGAGACTTGTTGAATGGTTGTGACCAAAATGCTGATAGTGATATGGACATTGAAGTACAGGTTGAGGTGGTCTCCGATGGAGATGAGGAACTTATTGGGAACTGGAGCAAAGGCCACTCTTGTTGTGCTTTCACAAAGAGACTGGCAGAATTTTGTCCAGAGATCTGTGGAACTTTAAATTTGAGAAAGATGATTTAGGGTATCTGACAGAATAAATTTCTAAACATCAAAGCATGAAGATGTGACCTGGCTTTTTCTGAAATCATACAGTCATATGTGCTCACAAACAGATGGTTTGAAATTGGAACTTATGTTTAAAAGGGAAACAAAGCATAAAAGTTTGGAAAATTTGCAGCCTGACCACGTGGTAGAAAAGAAAATCCCATTTTCTGGGGAGAAATTCAAGCTGGCTGCAGAAATTTGCATAAGTAATGAGAAACCAAATGTTAATAGCTAAGACAATGGAGAAAATGTCTCCAGGCCATTTCAGAGAACTTCTTGGCTTGGGAGGGAAAAATGGTTTCGTGGGCTGCTCCCAGGGCCCCGCTGCTCTGCGCAGCCTCGAGACATGGCACTCTGCATCCCAGTTGCTCCAGCTTCTGCTGTGGCTAAAAGAGGCCAATATATAGCTCAGGCCATTGCTTCAGAGGGTGCAAGTCCCAAGCCTTGGTGGCTTCCACATGGTGTTGGGTCTGTGTGTGTCCAGAAGACAAGAGTTGAGCTTTGGGATCCTCTGCCTAGATTTCATAGGATGTATGAAAATGCCTGGATGCCCAGGCAGAAATCTGCTGCAAGGGCAGAGCCCTCATGGAGCACCTCTGTACTAGGGCAGTGCAAAGGGGAAATGTGGGGTTGGAGCCCCCACACAGAGTCCCCACTAGGGCACTGCCTACTAGAGCTGTGAGAAGAGGGCCACCATCCTCCATACCCAAGAATGGTACATCCACCAACATGTTGCACTGTGTGCCTGGAAAAGCCACAGGCACTCAACATCAGCCTGTAAAAGCAGCTGTGGGGCCTGTACCCTGCAGAGCCACAAGGGAAGAGCTACCCAAGGTTTTAGGAGCCCACCTCCTGCATCAGCATTACCTGAATTTGTCATGGAGTCAAAGGAGTTTATTTTGGAGCATTACAATTTAATGGCTGCCTTGCTGGATTTCACACTTGCATGGGGCCTGTGGCCCCTTTGTTTTGAACAGTTTCTTCCTTTTGGAATGGGAACATTGCCTGTACCCCCATTGTATTGGAAGTAACTAACTTGTTTCTTTTTTTTATTTTACAGGCCCATAGGTGGAAGAGACTTGCCTTGTCTCAGATGAGATTTGGACTTGGACTTTTAAGTTAATGCTGGAATGAGTTAAGACTTTGGGGGACTGTTAGAAGGCAGGATTGATTTTGAAATGTGAAAAGGACATGAGATTTTGGAAGGACCAGGGGTGGAATTATATGTTTAGGCTCTGTACCCCACCCAAATCTTATCTTGAATTTTAATCCCCATATGTGGAAGGAGGGACCTGGTGAGAGGTGATTGGATCATGGGGGCAGTTTTCCCCATGCAGTTCTCATGACAGTGTGTGAGTTCTCACAAGATCTGATGATTTAAAAGTGTGTAACTTCCTTCTTTGCTCTCTCCTGCCACGATGTAAGATGTGCTCACTTCCTCTTTGCCTTCTGCCATGATTGTAAGTTTCCTGAGGTCTCCCCAACCATGCTGAACTGGGAGTCAATTAAGCCTCTTTCCTTTACAATTTGCCCAATCTCAGGTAATTCTTTATAGCAGTGTGAAAACAGACTAATACAAAGGCATGGACTAATCACCGTCTTTAGCCCTTCTTACTTCCATTATCTAAATTACTCTCTTCTGAACAAATACTTTTTTTCAACAGGTGTCTTCTGAGAAGTCATTTTGATACAGTATGAATTCAATAAGACAAGTCTTCCATTGAGCATGCTTGGGCAAGTAAATATTAAAGAGATTTTCTAAAGGTCTTCAGTTCATGCTTGGTGTTCAGCATGCCCTTTTTCTCCTCCTTAATGTTCGTTTTCAAATGAGCAGCAAAGAATAGCTTTAAGGGCTAGAATAGCTCTGGGGTATTTAACAGGTGCTGAAACTTATGTTTAGGTCACCAGTTCAGATCCCAAGATATATGGTTCTCTCTTCTGCCATTCATTATTTTAAGCAGGAAGACCAGACCAATACCTTTAAACTGGCATGACCTACCATAAAACTGTTCCTCCTTACCATCAGGTACTGGTGAGGAATCACCTGGGGTTGTTACCATTGAGAACTAGCAGAACAGTAACCATCATTTGCTCCAATGACACACGGTGCATCTCTTATGCTATTAGAAGCAGGACAGCTGGATATAAGCAACCAGGTGAGGTGGGATAGCATATATTCCTTGAAAAAACTCTTCTTGAGTTTGGGAAAGGTGGGATTATGGTGAGCAGCAGAAAGAACAGAAAGGAGTAGGTGACAAAGAAGAAAGATGATGATCCAAGTTTGGACTAAATTAGGACAGAAAGAATGATCAAACTAGTCAATAGCTAAACATGTGAGAGAAAAGGGGTCAAATGATGTGTCAACTTTGAAGACCAGAGAACCCTAGATAATAAAGATGAAAGTCAAAGCAGTTTACTCTGTTATTCTTAATTAGTCTTAGTTATCTTTTTATTATCTCTAAGTGTTATAAACATTGTCTTCAGGTATTACTAAGAAATGATGCTGAATTAGGAAGACCCAATAATATTTGTAGTTAATATCCTGGTTCCTGCAGTGGATGTAACAATGTATGTCATAATTTAGGACCTGTAAGGCTCCTTTCCATTTGGCTGTGCCAGATAGTGCATATTTTTTATTTTTTTCCTTCTCAGACCTTCGTTGACTGTTGTGCAATACCTTATTACCAAGAGTGAACACTTTTATTTTACTGTTCTCTGTAACAAATCTTTACTAATTTAATCATCAAAGCAAACTTGTGAGATCAAATTTATTATTATCCCCATTTTACAAATATGGAAATGATGCAAGAGAAAGCCCTGGTGACTTTCCCAAGGTTGTGTAGTTAGTTAGTAAAGTTAGGGTTTAAACTCAGTTAGTCTTCTCCAAATCCTTCTTCCTAAGCATCACACAATAATGTCTTGCTTAGATATTTCATGGAGTTAAAATATTTTAGTCTTCTAAGGATAAGAGTTCAGTACAAACAAAGTTATAGTTATGTTTCTAAGAATTTAGTGAACCCATCACTGACCTAAAAAGCCAAAATTGTTTTGTATTATAAATCTATGATTTAATTCCTAATCCATTTAGGTATGCAAATTATATTTTTTAGAAATAAAAGATTATAATATTCTTTTATCTACCTAATGACAACTATTATAGAAACATGAAAATTTCATGAAGAACTTAAAAATTATGATACTTAAATGGTTTTGTTCAAAAAGCTAAGCCAGAACTAAATAGGGCACCTCTTTGAGGAATGTCTAGTTGACAAATAATGAAAGAATCCTATATTCCTAACACCATTTCTGGGCACTATAAACATTGTTTGTATTAGTGAAAATGGTACTGCTGTTGGTGGCATTTCAAAAAAGGAAGCAGAAGCTGTACTTGGGAGCTGAACATAAATATAATCAGAAAAGATGATGAACTAAATCATATTTACAAAAGGATTTAAAATAATGGTTCATGAGTCCTGTAAAATAATTTCCCCTTTTTAACATAGAATCACATATAGTACCCTATTAGTTCATTTTTTTGGTGTCATTTATGCTATAAATCTCCTTGCTAGATAGGAAATCTAGGCCATACCACCATTCTTTAAATTAAGCTTACTGCTCTTGCTTGGTGATTGGATGAAATAAAACCAAAGATTACTTAATTTGTTTCATTTCATTTTGAAATCAATTTAGATCAGTGGCAATTAAATAGGCAAACTCCTAAAATTTATGGCATGGTCAGGGAGCATATGCATGGGAGTCTGCGTGTGTGTGTGTGTCTGTGTGTATGTGTCTGTGTGTAGTTTATGCATGTGCCCAACTGGAGACTATTGCAGTGATGACAAATATTTGGTAGTAGAAACTCGTTAAAAAGGGGAAAAACGAAAATTTAAAATGAGGTGAACTTTTTCTGTATTGCCTGTTTATCTACCAAAGTCATAGAAAACCCAGACTCATTTTAGGCTTCTTGAAAAGTAATCCAAAAACTGATTTAGCATCTCTTATAAGATGTGGACATATAGCTGGAATGCTAACATCACATTGTAAAAAAAAGCAACTTTCTACACTTTCCCCCCCAAAACCCTATTCTGATTGTATTCGTCTGCTTGGGCTGCCATAACGAAATACTATAGAGTGGGTGGCTTTAATAACAGAAATTTATTTTCTCACAGTTCTGGAGGCTGGGAAGTCTGAGATTTAAGTGTTGGACCATTTGGTTTCTGCTGAGGGCTCTCTTCCTGGCTTGCAGACTGCCACCTTCTTGCTATGGCCTCACAGACGGACAAAAACATTCAGTTCATAGCACTGACCAAAAATTATTTCCAGGCAATCCAGTGAGTAAAGTCTGACTATATTAGCCTGAGGCTTTTCTGAAGTATTCCTGTATCCACACAGCTCAAGTTTCCATCTCTGCTCTTACTAGAAGCATAAACTTTCTGTCTATATATCCCAGATATACACTATCTAAGAAAACACCAGAATAAAGTACAATAGAAAAGTGGTTCTCAAAATGAGATTCAAGAATTTCTGAAGTTCCGTGAAAATCCTATGTAGTCTATGGGTGGTCCCTGTGTTATGTAAAATAATCAATTTTGAGTGGCAATGTCCATCCTTTTTGTTCTGGCATGAGCTAATAATTTACTTATCAGATATAGTAGAATTATGTGTCAGCTCACTATTACATCATCAAGAAGAGCACTAATTCTGATAAATTACTTTGACAGGTACAGCTGGAATAGAAAAGATAGACAGTGGATTCTTTGGCTTCATCCAAGTGGGCTGAGGATTGAAGTATTTTTCCAGTCATGTTCTTGAACACCTACTTTCATGGCATGCTGACATTTCCAGACTACTGAAGATGTGATGATTAACTGATCCTGCATTTGATGAAAAAAAAAGTTTGCACATTCCAAAGGAGATAGGTTTCAAATGACTATATAGGGTACAATTTCCACTGAAGTGATTTCTCTTAATCTTAATCCTTAACCACTCTCATTGCTACAGTACCTTCCAAAAGTAAGCATAGTTCATAAAGTCTTCAGACTGCCTTTTAGCACATTAACATACTCTTCACAATCCCACAATAAAAGCACCTTAAGTGCAGGGATATTTTTCTTTATTTTCTTTCTTTCCTTCCCTCTCTCTTTCCTTCATTTCTTCTTTCTTTCTTTCCTTCCTCCCTCCCTTCTCCCCACCTCCCTCTCTCTCTCTTTCTTTTCTTTCTTATCCTCGGTGCCTAAGAATTTGTTCTATAGAAGTCTATTTGAATGAATGCATGGAGATACCTAAAGTAAGTGATTCTGAGGTACAGTGATACTTGATCACCTATATGTAAAATTACTATCATAAGGAAAGTGAGGCTGGGCATGGTGGCTCATGCCTGTAATCCCAGCACTTTGGGAGGCTGAGGCGGGTGGATCACCTGAGGTCAGGTGTTTGAGACCAGCCTGGTCAACATGGTGAAACCCCGTCTCTACTAAAAATACAAAAATTAGCCGGGCGTGGTGGCACGCGCCTATAGTCCCAGCTACTCGGGAGGCTGAGGCAGGAGAATCACTTGAACCCGGGAGATGGAGGTTGCAGTGAGCCAAGACTGTGCCACTGCACTCCAGCCTGGGTGACAGAGTAAGACTCTATCTCAAAAAAAAAATAATAAATTTAAAAAAAAAGAAAAGAAAAATAGGCTGTGGATATGGATGGGTAGTTCAAAAAATAAAAATAAAAAAAGGGCTCATAAGGAAAGTGAAAAAACATTAAAATGTACAACCATGTCAAACCATGCCAAAATGTCTGCTGATATAAAAAGCCCTTCTCAGTATCATATATAATCATTTACAACAGAACAATGGCCTCCAGTTTCATATCATCGCACCCCTGCCTAACATCTATGATTTCATGTGAATTTAAAAAGCTGCTCTCAATCCCAAGGTTTAGACTCAATAACTTTAGGCTTCAGTGCCCAATTCTATGAAATTTTAGAATAGCATCTACATTACAGTGCTCATGCATCTTACAACATGTTCTTTGATGAGAGTGTTTGGGGAAAAAGTGACCAGTCTCTGTCACCATTCCGATCTCCTAATTTCAGCTCACTTCTCTACTGGCATCTCTTTGGCCCACCAGAAATTTAAGAGAAAAAATATTGTGAAAAGACTATTTAAGTCTGGTCATTGAAGCAATTAGACAGTGCATCAGATTAAAATGACATCACTGTTATAACAAACTAGATTTCTTACAGCACTGGAGAAAAGAAAATTTACTGATGAACTTTGGCTTCAAATTTTGTAAAACTCTAAGACCAGTTGTCATTTATCTTGAAATACTTTGAGATATTTACCTCCTGAACTTAAAATGTCCAACTTTCTTACTTCTGCCCTTCTCCATAATTCTTCCCTCTTTCAAGCAATAAACGGCAACTCAGTCTTCTGGGACCATATCCAATATGGTCTCTTCCATGAAATCTTTCCTAACTTCTTCACTAAAACATGTGCTTTGATTAATTTTTCTTAACATATTTCTCCTTGGTCCAAGTCCAAGGCCTGTGTCTTACTCATTTGCCTGTCCCTAACATTTAGTAGAGTATCTGATTAGTACATGTCAGGTACTCAGCAAATATATGCTAAATGTAAATAGTTAATGAGTGCAACCATCTCCCAGAGATTTCAACTTCTCCCTAAAGCAGAATATAAACTGAAGTCATGGTAGAGGAAGCCATCTTAAAATTTGATATTCATTATTATTATTAAAGGAGCCACTATTTAGGAAGGAATAGAAGATAGACAATTTTCTCATTTGAACTTTCCCAGGGAGGGCATGTCCTTATATTGTCAGAGTGGGCAAAAATCAAACACATTATTATTAAGGCCAATTTAATTCTCATTGTCCTGGAGCCATTTAACATTCAACATAATTATCTGCTTGTACCATTAATAAGGAAGAGAAAAATATACACAACGTAAAGTTATCTACCTTGACAAAACCAGGTTTTAAACAATTCCACACTCTTCACTCTTTCCATGTTTATTATGTCTCTAAGGGGTCAATGTTATAACAGATTTTAAGTTTTTGGTCATTTCCTCAAGCAAATATTCTGAAACAAAGGATCCAATAACATTTTCCATTTATAATATCTCACTACAAATTTTTAATTTTTTTACAAATGAATTATTCAAGTTGCAATTGATAGAGGCTTCCTTTGAACATTATTTAAAGCTCTTTTTAAGTACCTAAAGGATAATAGAGAATAAGAAAATTCTTCTGTGATTGGTTAAAGAGCAGAGGTATGTGTGCTATTGACAATATGGAAAAATCTGCCAAGTGATTTTAATTAAGCCTAATAATGTGAACCCATACTTGATGAGTAGGAGAACTAAGCAGGAAGCCAGTTATAGAGGATGACATGAAAGATGGGAGATCATTGGGTCTGAAATTCTGGAAGCAAAGATAAATGACTTTTTTTTTTTAACCAAAAGGAATGAATACCTTTATGGCTAACTTAGTTGGCTTTTCTTCCATCAACTAGGGTATATTCTTTCCTCTCCTTAAGACTGTTTCCTTTTCTGTAAAATGTGACCATTGTAATACCCTTCATAAATGACCAGGATAGGCAGACCTGAAATAACAGTCCTTCCTGATCTCAGTCAGATAGGGTAAAAGCTGAGATAGAGAATGCTACTGGGAATTACATTGCAAAAGAAACATCTGGTTGGACGCAGATGTAATCCTAACACTTCGGGAGGCCAAGGCGGATGGATGGCTTGAGCCTAGGAGTTTGAGACCAGCCTGGGCAATGTGGTGAAACCCCATCTCTACAAAAATTAGCCAGGTGTGTTGTGTATGTCTGTAGTCCCAGCCACTTGGGAGGCTGAAGTGGGAGGATCACCTGAGCCCTGGAAGGTTGAGGCTGCAGTGAGCTGAGATGGAGACACTGCACTCCAACCTGGGTGGTAGAGTGAGATCCTGTCCCAAAATAATAATAATGATGATGATGATGATAATAATAATAATAATAATAATAATAATAATAATAAATGAAAAGAAAAAGAAACATCCAAATGGGAGGCTGAGTATCAGGGTGTATTCCAATTATGACACAACTATGTGTGACTTTGTGTTGATAAATAAGTAAATAGCTCTTTGTGTCAGATTCCTCCCTGATGAAACAAGGGAGATTTGCAATACACATAAAGCAGTTGACCCTGGGCAAAGTCCTAAAAATAATTTGTGGGTTACATAAATCAAATTAACTCACACTGACATGGATTCTTAAAGAAGCATTGTGGAATCCACACACAAACAGTGTTGCCTCTAGTCTACCCCACCATCCTCTTTTCAGAGATTACAGGAGAGACATTTCTAAAGGTTGGACACTTAAAACAAACTCTCAAATCACCTGGGCTGGGCTACATGACATGATGCTACTAGATGAATGGCAGTCTCATGAGTGAATCAAGGAACTGTAAAGATGAATTTCAGGCCTTTGTGAAAATGGCTTACAAGTGATCCCCAATTTCAAATGATTGTCATTTCTGTTTCTGCTCAGACATTCTGCATCCGAAACAGATCTGCTCATGAATCCTTGCAAGAAAATCTAACAGAGTACAGCAGAGTGTTCCCTTTCCTGGTGAGCTAATGCCCAAGAATATCCATTCTAGAGTCCATGGTGTGCATGGAATGATATTTCTTGGAATTTCCCAGGGACTGAAACTTCTCCAATGACTATTCAGCTGGGCTCTCAGAATTAGGAATAAACATGTCAGAGCCAGAGGGTGGGGTCTGAAAATGGAAATCCTCAAGATGAGACAATATTAGTTAGTTGGAAAGGGTGATAACTTTTCTCTGTCCCTAGTTCACAACCTGGGAGTGATTTAGACATTAGGATACGCAGTGTAATTTCCCATTTCAACCCTTGGTTTTATACTTCACTAATTGCTGTTAGTTATTTCTTTAGATAACCCAATAACACAGAGGTCTATTGGTCTCATTATTTGAATAAAGAAAACTGAGGCAGAGAAAGGATAAAAAATTAGTTCCCATCTGGCTGGGATTTTAAAATGTGTTAAATGTCTTACTCTATTTTACCTCTTTCCATATACATTGATTTTAACATCCAATCAATGCATGAACCAGCTTGACTTTGCTGCCCACCTTTTCATTCCCTCCACTCCAACAAGAGACAGGCTTCAATAAATAGATAATAAGTAGACAAGGTGATAAGAGAAAAGTTTTCAATCTAATTTAATTTAATTTAATTTTTGAGGCAGGATCTCGCTTCATTGCCCAGGCTGGAGTGCAGCGGAACAATTATGGCTCATGGCAGCCTCAATCTCTTGGGCTTAAGTGATCCTCCTGCCTCAGCTTCTGGAGTATCTGGGACTACAGGCGTCTGCCACCATGCTCAGCTAAATTTTTTTAATGTTTTGGCCAGACGCGGTGGCTCATGCCTGTAATCCCAGCACTTTGGGAGGCCAAGGTGGGCAGATCACTTGAGGTCAGGAGTTTGAGACCAACTTGACCAACATGGTGAGACCCTGTCTCTAATAAAAATACAAAAATTAGCTGGGTGTGGTGGTGCATGCCTGTAATCCCAGCTACTCAGGAGGCTGAGCCAGGAGAATAGCTTGAACCCAGGAGGCGGAGGTGGCAGTGAGCCAAGATTGTACCACTGCCCTCCAGCCTGGGTGACACAGCAAGGTTCCATCTCAAAAAAAAAAAAAAAAAAGTAAAATGTTTTATGGAGACAGGGTCTCATTATGATGCCCAGGCTGGTCTTGAACTTCTGGCCTCAAGCGATCCTCCCACCTCAGCCTTCCAAAGTGCTGGGATTACAGGTGTGAACCACCACACCCAGCCAAATATGCAAGTTTTTAATTTTTTAAGTCAATTAAAGATTGACTTTAAAAAGTCCATTTTAATTCAGAAGTGACCATTCTGTCATTCTGAAATTTTGTTCTTTGTCCTTCGGAATGTTTGTTTACTTGGCTGGAGCATCAGTGTGGTTGGAGTCCCTGCACAGTAGGAGGAAGTTGCTCCTGCATCCTTCTCAAACCTCACAGAAACACAAGGATTTCACAAAAATCTGTCGATTTCTTTCCTCAACTGCATTTAATTATGATATTTTTAAGACACAGAATTTCCTCTTAATTTAAAGCTTTCTTTTTCTAGGAGCATTTCAGTTTTTCATTTCTGTAAAAGCCTGTACTTTTTTTAAAAAAAAGATTCAAAGTTTGTCTTGCTATGTTTTCAAGAATTCGAGACTTGTAAACTTAAAACAAAACCCACTTTTACCTTTGCAAACCAGCCTCAAAAGAGAAAATAACCCTACTTTAGCTTTGAATTTAAAGTTAAATTTTATATTGAAGGAATTCTTTTCCATTCGCCTTCTCACTAAGTCATGTCTCACAATTCTGGCTTCATTTTTCTAACAGTTCCTCTTCAATAACCTTGCCAAGTCAATCTTGTCATAATGTGGGGATGAAGAAATCAAGTTTTATTGTTTTTCAACTTCAAACTTAATGTATATTGTTCACAAAGTGATGGAAAAAAGGCCATTTTGAAAAAATGATTCAAGCTGTCAAATAAAGTGGTAACATCCATTTGGTAGGTGGCCTACGGATAGCAGTCCTGATTTTATGATTTTCTGACCTCTCTGGGATTTGGGTTTCACATCTGTCCAGTGAGGGAGTTGGTTGCCAGCTCCCCAAGATATAGTCATTACCACAGCAGCCTCGTGCTTTTTACCATGTCACTGACTACAGCCATTATGTAATATTTCCACTGCTATATTCACTGCACTAATTTTCACTTAATGTTTGTCTTTAAACTAACTCTATTTTTATTTTTAACTTTAAGCATATTTTAAAAGGAAGCTTTGTGCATCTGCCATTTAAAAAAGTGTCATCCATATAGTTGGTAACCCAAAAAATTATATTTTTAATGAAAACCATACAGTATTATTAAATTCTGGCTCTACATAGTTATCTGCTAAAGACGCTGAGCCTGAGGCTTGTCTTCTGTTTCTCAAAAAGGAAGATAAAAGTGTTAGAGACTTCTTTGTTAGCACCAGACTGAGACTTTCTTCTTGATATAATTAGAAGTCTCAAAAAACCTGAAAGAGGCTAATTTTCTTATTGCGTTATTCACTATCCATACGCTTCCTAAAACTATCCTGTACACATTAGAGATCCATATTCCTCATCCCAGAAAAAAACTGGGCTGAATGTTGTTCTTAACAGTTTATTATATTGCAGATCTGTAATTTCAGTTTACAGACACACAAAAGACACAGAGGAGAGGTACATTCCTCTTCTGGTGCTTCAAAAAGCTGAAACACAAGCATCTTGTAAAAAGAGCTGACTCCTCTCTATACTCCATGACTCTGGGTAACTTGTTCGGACACGAAAAGGTAATAAGGAAGTGTGAATAAGAGCAGGAATGAGAATCCAACTGGTCAACTTGATTTGGTTGTTGTAAAATACCTTTATCTAACAATCAGATTGAAAAATGTCATTAAATAAATCAAAACTGTTTTTGTCAGAGCTGAAAGGCAAATGCTGGGATCAACTTGACAAAGTCGTTGTATTTTAATAGAGAATTGGTGCAGTTTTGGTATACTGCAAAATTACTCGACCATCTTTAACTTGTTATAACTACCAGTAGCCACTCATATAGTAAAAGTAAGTGTTTTAAAAGCAGAAATGAATAACTATGTCTGCTATACTTGTTCATAGTTTTGTTTGTATGTGGTTTTTTGTCGTAAGCTTGTATAGTTACACACAAAGTAAAACTTCAGTTCAAAAACTTTACTTTCCCCTTTGTTTCCCCTTTGCTGCTAGAGTTACACAAATGACCAAAGTTTATAATCTTTTCATTATCCAACATGAAGTAAAAATAATAATTAAAGCAGACTCATATTGAAAATAACAATAGAAAATTAGTGGGATAATTCACTGCTTTTTTTTTTTTGGTTTTTAGTTCTACTGCCAACATAAAACAGCATAATGGCAACTGAAATATCAATATTCTTAATACTCCATTTTACTTGGCAGTAACTGCAAGGAAACCTATCCATCTTGAGTCTTAAAGACAATTTCTAAAATTAAAGCTAGTGCTAGCCATTCCTGACACTCACTTCTGAGTAGATGGGTGGTTCACCTTCACCAGAAGCAGTCTCAAAAAATCCCCATGGCATCTGCCACTGTGAGAGAATTTCAAGTTCACGTAAGTTTCAGTTGCTCCTTTATGCCTTCATCTACTTAATTCCTACTTTACCTTGTCTAGAAAAAAAATAAATGAACACAGTCTGGGTCCACAGACTGCTAGGCAAGTTCCTCACAGGATCTGCAAAATCAGACTCTGGGTGGGATCTTGAAATTCTGTGACTTGGTGTTGTGGAGAGCAGTGGCCTGGGAATCAGGAGCCCTGGGCTCCAGGCCCAGCTCTACCACTAACTGTGTGACACTGAGCAACTCTCCTGTATTTACTGGTCTTCAGTATTCCCATCTCTAAGGGAAAAGGCGAGAAGGGACCTAGATAGTCATTTGTTGCTCTAACGTTCCATGATTCTGTCTACTTCCTATAGTGTTACAGTAGTCGTCTAGTGTTAAAAAATAATGTTAAATAATCTCAGACTTCAGAGTAGCAACTCAGTCTGACTAAAAGTTTTTAAAAGACCAGGAAGCATGAACTCTCATCCAGCCATGCATTTTATTAAAGAATTAATAATAGACTCACAAGTAGATAGATATTGTGATTTTGATTGGCTGGTTAACTCATTGCCTCTGCTATGTATTGACTTTCAGGAAGTTAGAGAATAATATAGACCTAACCATTAGGCAGTTGATCTTCAAATACACTTGCATTAATATTTTGTTAATTGCATTTTATTTTCATTGTAATGTGGCTAAAATTCCAGAGATAAATATCTTCCTTTATGTGAAGTCCTCAGGGAACAGTAGCACTGATACATTTATCATTAAAATAAATGCAGGCTATCTGCCCAACAATTATGTATAAAAATACGTTTGAGTGACTAGGCCAATAGAGGCCTTCATATTTTGTTAATTTTCTTTTGTTTTGTTTTTTAAAGAGACAAGTTCTCGCTCTGTCTCCCAGGCCAGAGTGTAGTGGAGTGATCATATTTTGCTGCAGCCTCAAACTCCTAGGCTCAAGGAATCCTCCTGCCTCAGTCCCCACATGCCACCACACCTGGCTAATCCTTAAACATTTTTTGCAGAGACAATGTTTTACTATGTTGCCTAGGCTGGTCTCAAACTCCTGGCTTCAAGTGATGTTTCCACCTTAGCCTCCCGAGTAGCTGGGGTTACAAGCACAAGCCACTGCACCCAGCTTAATACAGGCCTTCACGTAAAATCAATGGCTGACATCAAGCTTCACAGGAAGGGCATGTTTCCACAGACAGGTGGAATATTCCCAAGCTGGAGGACTAGCTGAAAAAAGGCACCCAAACTTTATTCACTTAAAGTCTTTACTTTTCCATAACAACTCCATCAACAGTGCAAAACTGAAAACCAAAGACTATGTTTCCCAAATATTTTTTTCAAAAACAAAAGATCTTTATTTATTTTAAATTTCAGCCAAAATGTGATAACTTCTAATCACACAATGTTATTGTAATATTCTTTTCTTTTTTTTTTTTTTTCAAGAGCAGTATTCTGACTTTAAGAAATGTAGGCTGGACATGGTGGCTCACGCCTGTAATCCCAGCACTTTGGGAGGCTGAGGCAGGTGGATCACCTGAGGTCGGAAGTTAGAGACCAACCTGACCAACATGGAGAAACCCCGTCTCTACTAAAAATACAAAATTAGCTGGGCGTGGTAGCGCATGCCTGTAATCCCAGCTACTTGGGAGGCTGAGACAGGAGAATTGCTTGAACCCGGGAGGTGGAGGTTGCAGTGAGCCAAGATCATGCCATTGCACTGTAGCCTGGGCAAACAAAAGTGAAACTCCATCTCAAAAAAAAAGAAAAAAAAAAAGAAAAAAAAGAAATGTAGCAGATAATATTAAGTTCCTAAGAGAGTCAGTCAACATCTGTTAAAATTCAGCCATTCTAAATAGGTAGCTGGTAAACTTTAGTGGGATTTTGTGCCTCAGCTTGTTATTAAAGTTACTCCTGAGAAATGATCTTCAGTTTGGTGAAGTTCCCTCCCTTTGTGCATTCAGCAAACTAATATTAAGGGCCTACTGTGTGTCAGACACACAGTAATCTCATATGTGTTCTTTAGCATACTCCCTTCTGATGAAGATAGATAAAAACCATCCCATGGCTCAAGCTTGGAACCACATCCTGGATGCCAAATGTCCACCCACTCCTACAAAAGAACAGAAAAGAGAGTCTGAGGCTAAAAACCATGAGAATGTGTTCTGTACCAGAGATCCCAAGATCTCTTTCAGCTCTTCTCCGACTGACTTTCCTGAATTATATACTTCACACCTGATTTCTTCATCAAGAGGAGGCAGCATAGCAAAGAATAATACTGCCTCTGTAGCCACACAAATTTGTTTCTGAATCCTCACTTCCCCACTTACTAGATGTGGAACTTGGGTATGTTCTTAAAAACCTCTTTAAGCCTAAGTTTCTTCTTCTCTAAGTTGGAAATATGCTGCAGGGATAAAATGAGATAATGTGAGTAAAGCTCTTAGTACTGCGCCTGGCAAATGATAAGCACTCAGTAAAGTGTAGCTTCAATTTAATCTTGTCATTAGCTGAGCATAGAGATGACAAATGAACTAAGATTTATTAAGTTCCTAGTGATCCTTGGGCAAAAAGAGATTCTAGAAATTACCCTCTCCCCAGTCTCTCTCCCCACCCCCACCCAAGTTTCTTCTTTATGGATTTGAGAGCTAATTCTCTAGCTTGTGTACCATGCTTTTCCTTAATATCCTCTTTCTAATTCCTCATGATTTACTTTGGAAATATCACCGTATATCAAGAAAACCATCAATAGAGAAAAAAAGAAAAAGAAAAATGGTAAAAATTTATATCATGACCTAAGAGATATTTATTAGTAGCTATTTCTATGTGGTAGAATTAATGATGATTTTTATTCTTTTGTGCTTTTTTGTGTTTTCCAAATTTCTACATTAACAAGTATTGCTTTTCAAAGAACAAAAAAAGGTATTTAAAAAGTGTGTGTGTGTATGAGAGTGTACGGCTAGAGGAAGTGACGTAATAAAATCAATAAAGATGTGGTTGTAGGAGACTGTGTGAAAGTAACTGAAACAGACATGACTACTGAAAGAAAATTATTTTAGTAAAAAGCCCAGGACTTAGAGCTAGAAGACACTGGGTTAAAGTCTAGTTCACTGCTTTGGTAGTTGTAGGACCTTGGTCATTTAACCTTGCTAAGCCTCAGTCTTCTTATCAATAAAATGGGAGTAGTAAGATCATTCTCCTTGTAATTCCAAGTAATTC
This sequence comes from Homo sapiens, assembly GCF_000001405.40. NCBI lineage: Eukaryota > Metazoa > Chordata > Mammalia > Primates > Hominidae > Homo > Homo sapiens. The sequence goes on along the minus strand of NC_000005.10, from coordinate 88,416,083 downwards.
CTTGAAATTTAAGGGAGATTGCATGTAAAAAATGTATGACACATTGTGCAGAGTTAGTGCTCAGATTACAAGTCAGTTGAAAAACTCCTGTACTAATTAACATTATTTCATGCACTTGGATGTCTCATCCATACCTGATGTGTAACAAGGTAAAAACTGAATGTAATATATTTTTTCTCGTTTTCCCCACCAAAACCAGCTCCCTTTCTTGTATTTATTATACTGTTCATGAAAAGTTCCACTGTAGCGTATTTCCCTATGTTAATAATATAGATTTATTCCAACCCTTGATTTTGCAATATTCAATCTGTTCCTTATTCCAATTGAGGTTTTCTCTGAAATACTGGTTTAGTTCCACCCTTTGTCTATATTTCCATTGACAGTCCTGGCATATGCTGCTCTTTTCCCACTCCAAATGGATTTTTAAACTTTTTTTTTTTTTTGAGATGGAGTCTCGCGCTGTCGCCCAGGTTGGAGTGCAGTGGCACGATCTCGGCTCACTGCAACCTCTACCTCCCGGGTTCAAGTCATTCTCCTGCCTCAGCCTCCCGTGCAGCAGGGATTACAGGTGTGCGCCGCAATGCCCGGCTAATTTTGGTATTTTTAGTACAGACAGGGTTTCACCATGTTGGCCAGGCTGGTGTTAAACTCCTGATGTCAGGTGATCCACCCGCCTCAGCCTACCACACCTGCTGGGATTACAGGCGTGAGCCACTGCGCCCGGCCCCACATGGATTTTTATGATGCCAGTGTCTCTTCTCCCGAACATATTCAAGTGGCCTACAAATCTTCAAACTTCATTCTCATCACATCACTCTTTTTCACTGAAGCCTTCAATCTCGTCTGAGTGTGGTGGCTCATGCCTGTAATCCCAGCACTTTCGGAGGCCAAGGTGGAAGGATCACTTGAGAACAGGAGCTTGAGACCAGCCTGGGCAACATAGTGAGATCCTGTCTCTACAAAAAAATTGAAAAATTAGCTGGGTGTGGTGGCAAGCCTGTATTCCCAGCTACTCAGGAGGCTAAGGCAGGAGGATTGCTTGAGCCTAGGAGTTGGAGACTACTGTGAGCTGTGATTGCAACACCCACTCCAGCTGCCCTCCAGCCTGGGTGACACAGTCAGACCCTGTCTCTTAAAATAAATAAATAATACATAAAATAAAAATAAAGCCTTCAATCTAAACTCTTCATGTTACATTCAGGACTCTGCATGAAATTGTAACCAACTGCACCTCCATCCAACACTTTATTTCTCCAACATCAGTTCTGAATATCCTAAAGGCCCTAGCTTGGCCCTGTCCTGTATACAAATTTACTTCATCATTGTTCTCTACACAGAAAATGGCTTTGAACGTTATTCTCTTTCAGAGTTTGTGAGCCTCAGGACTATCAATATTTGGGCAGCATTACTCTTTGTTGTGAGGGACTGTCCTGTGCATTGTAGGATGTTCAGCAGCATCCCTGACCTCTATTTTGTGACAACCAAAAATGTCCCCAAACATTGCCCACTCTCCCAGGGCAGGGGGCAAAATCATCCCCAATTTAGAACCACTCCTCTGCTATGTTTTTGCCCATATCCCATAACAACTGCACTCTCATATTACACTATAGGTGCACATTATAGTACTATGGACTTTTTAGAACATTTATCCCAAATTTAGCATTTGAATCTAAATCTGTTATAAGGATTCTCCATGTAATTTCCAGAGAGTTGTACAAGAGAATGCTGAACACATTGCATTCATTTTTCAAAAATCATCTGGATAGGGTGGTGCTTCATGTTTTCCTTCTTTAAAGGTGGCACGTATTATTAAATGAAAAGATCTCCTTCACCATTAATCCTCAGGAAAGTAACAATTTTTTTAAAAAGTCCTCTTTTATTGTTATGTAAATTACATCAATATGTATTTTTTACATATTATATTATCTTCTTGTTTGTCTATACTAGAACACATGTTCTAATTGCAGTGTAGGTGGAAAATGCAGTTAATATCTGAAGCTGTCTATAATTTACACAAATGTATCCAATAATGTGTTCATTAAATGTTAAATAATCAAGTATTAGGTGCTTTTTATAATGCATAAATTCTTAGTAGATTATTAAATAAATGTTTAAGAGAGTTTTATTGATTATTGGAGAAATTGGGTTTTTGCATGTACTAAGAATGCATTATTATTTTTCCCATTTACAATATAAATTATTTGCTTCTGTTACACAAAAATTTGCCTTCTCACATGTTTTCAGGAGTGGATTAGATTTAGATAATTAGAAATGGCTATAGTTACATTATTTGAGCACTTATGTAAAGCTTTGTGCTAAACATTTTGTATAGGTTTTTTCTTTAAAATAAACACCAGCAGACATACTTCGACAGGAAAAATAGAGAATAGATGTGGAAGAGAGGTAGAAGATCTCTCATTTTAAATTTTTTAGAAAATATGTAAGTAATTCTGGCTCTTAACTCTGACAGGAGATAAAAATCTGCTTGTTATCGTAAGGTAGGACATTTTGTTCCCTTACTTTCCAATTTATTTCTCCATCCACTGAATTCTAGCTTCTGCCCCCACCATATCACTAAAACTCCATTTGCCATATTCATCAATAGCCTCTTGTGGTGAATCCAATAGGTTTTATTCCTTATTGTATGTGATTCCTTGACTTTCTTTAACACTTTTAACCATTAGGTCCTTTTAGAAATACTCTATTCTCAAATGTTTATCCCAAGCCAAAATTCTTGCCTGATCTGCAGATGCAATATTCAACTAAACACCAGGCATCACAACTTAGATGTCTTACAGACACACCTATGATTCAATTATGTGACTGAATTCATCACATCTTCCTCATCCCAAATCTGCTTTTCCTCCTCTGTTCACCACTTCAATAAATGGCTTCATATCACCTCAATATTTTGAGCCAGAAATAAAGCATGATCCGTGAATTTCCCTGTCCTTTGCTCCTTTACCCAACCAGTCAACAAATCTGTTGATATTTTGTCTTTAACAGCTCTTAAACCTTTTATTTCTCCATCCTCGCTGCTACCACCTTAGTTCTGAATCTCACAGTCTTTGACTACTTTATGCAGCAGTTTCCTAATTGGCCTCCCAGGTGGTCAGCTAAGTATAAAAATAAAGTGCTTATTTTCCTGAACTGACCAATCATGTATGCTAAAATAGATAAGACACCTGACACAGCTGTCAGACAATGCACAATGTGGAACTAGGTACAACAAGACTGCAGGAAGAAGGCAATGAGAGTACTACCAAAGAGCCAGGGGACCTTAGTTCAGGTGGGATATAAAAGGCAGCTAAATGTGACTACCGAGTGTCATAAGGAAAAAGCCAAATTCTAAGGCAAGGACAAGAACCAAGGATCAGCAACTACTGAAACCAACCAGAATTACAGACAGAAACCAGGGAGCAGCAGTAGAGGGATTTATAGGATTCTGCAGAATATCTTATTTTTATCCAGACCATTTTTAATAAACCAGGTGTACACTTGCAGGTTCTTATACAATGGCATCTTGAAAGATGTCATGTAGCATCTTCCTTGAGATACATGGTCTTAAGAAGTGGGGTAAAATATTTTAACTGTATCCACAGTTAGAGATGACTGTATTGAGTCACAAGTGGTCAATAGGAGGGAATAATTCAGTAAACTATTCTGGAAAAAGATAAAATATATGTCTAATTATATGTCAATTTCAGCGCCTCTACCTCAACTTCATTCTAGGAGATCTTAAGGCAAAGAACTTTGCCTTTATCTCATATATAACTCTCTGTTTCTGCTTTGATATCTGCTTAGGCTACATTGGTCTCCCCCTTAGCATAATTTTGCTTATTTTGAAACAGGATTTTGTACAATTTGTTCTTGCTGCTTGCCATTGTATTAGACAAAGTGTTGACATGATACGTTGTTCTTTAGGTAGTAAACAGTCTGTAAAAATAATTAGTTACAGATAAATAATGCGTATAGCAAAGGATGTCATTTTAGCTAAAGTAAATACATGGAAATTGGTAGATTCTGAACAATAAGTTTCTTTAGGCATAAATTAAAATAATGTTTTGAGATATATATACCTACTAGGTATCCACAAAAATAAAAAATAAAATAATAATAAAATAATGTTTTGTTTTCCAATCAATATCAAGTTCTTGCAAATAATTCTTAGGCTTTGAAAACTACCTTCTCTTAATTTTTGGTGAAAATGTTAATGAAAGTAGATAAAATTGTTCTTTGCCTATCCAAATGTTACAAACTTGTATAGATAAAAATGTCAGGTCACCACATCCCTTGCTTAGTTGATAAATACAAGAAATGTACACAATAGAATATGAAGATTGTATTCTGTTTTTTTCAATTTTGTTGTTGTTGTTGATGTTGGTTTTTGTTTTGTTTTGTTTTTATTTTTATTTATTTATTTTTTTGAGTCTTGCTCTTGTGGCCCAGGCTGGAGTGTAATGGCTTGATCTTGGCTCACTGCAATCTCTGCCTCCCGGGTTCAAGTGACTCTCCTGCCTCAGCTTCCCAAGTAGCTGGGATAACAGGCATGTGCCACCACACCTGGCTAATTTTGTATTTTTAGTGGAGGCAGGGTTTCTCCATGTTGGTCAGGCTGGTCTTGAACTCCCGACCTCAGGTGATCTGCCTGCCTCAGCCTCCCAAAGTGCTGGGATTACAGGCGTGAGCCACCACGCCGGGCCTGCTTTTTTCAGTTTTAAGAAATTTAATCTGATACGGGCAAAATAAACATAAAGATATGCAAGAATTATGGAACAGATTATATGAAATGCTGTACAGTTAAGAGTAATTAATAATGATTATGATAGCTATTAATTAATAAATTCATTCTATTTGTAAGTATTTATAATAGTGAAATAGAAAGTGACTTTATGTTAATGGATCATGAGAGAAAAAGAAAAGTTTGTTTGTTTTTTTTTTTTTCTGAGACAGGGTCTCATTCTGCCACCCAGGCTGGAAAGCAGTGGCATGATGATAGCTTACTGCAGCCTTGAACTCCTGAGCTCAAGGGATCTTCCTGCCTCAGCCCCCTAAGTAGCTGGGACTACAGGTATGCCACCACACCCAGATAATTTTTTTTTTTTTTTTTTTGAGACAGAGTTTTGCTCTTGTTACCGAGGCTGGAGTGCAATGGCGAAATCTCGGCTAACTGCAACCTCCGCCTCCTGGGTTCAAGCAATTCTCCTGCCTCAGCCTCTTGAGTAGCTGGGATTACAGGCATGTGCCACCATGCCCAGCTAATCTTGTATTTTTAGCAGAGACAGGGTTTCTTCATGTTGGTCAGGCTGGTCTCAAACCCCTGACCTCAGGTGATCCACCCGCCTCAGCCTCCCAAAGTGCTAGGATTACAGGTGTGAGCCACTGCGCCCAGCCAATTAATTTTTTAATTTTTTTGTAGAGACAGGGTATCTCTCTGTTGCCCAGGCTGGTCTCCGATCCCTATCCTCAAGCAATCCTTCTACCTCAGCCTCCCAAATTGCTGGAATTACAGGCAAGGGCAATTGCACCTAGCCAGAAAGTCTAGGTTTTGGGGAGAGTGGGTATGTGGAAATGTAGTAGAGGATAAAACCTGTTCAAGGTATCATCTAAATGTCTTGACCATAGATACTTTTTTCACATTTCTTCTGAGAAGACAAGATTTTTAAAATTATAATATTCTCTACGTCCAAATGGTTCGGTGCTGACAATTATCCCAACATCACCTCCATATTAACATGGTAAAATGCCACAAGGAGCAACTCACTGATGCTACCTAATGATCTGATTCTCTGAGCTAAAAAAAAAAAAAAAAAAAAAGTGTATTTGCACAAACAAGGTGATGTCAGGATCTAATAAAAGTATGAAGGGCCTGAATCAACAAATATGTACCTGGTTGATATTGCCACGTCACATCAGCTTCTAGTCTTCTGTTGTTTCCAGTGAAACTACCTTATATTTTTATCATACTGTATAGTTTGCAGAAAGATTTCACATAAATTATCACATTGGATCTGAAAGAGAATACAGTGAGTTGAGTAGGGCAGATTTTTGTCAATGATATACTAATAAGAAATACAGACATCTAGAATGTGGCCATAACATATAATAAATACGATGCTGATTTATATCTCCCCTCAGATTAGGAGCCGGGGAGGGATGAGAAGTTAATTGAGCTGAGCATCTCAGGAACAGGAAGTCACAGCTGAGCAGCGAGAGTTGATTCCACCAAGAAAAGAAATCAGCCTGGACAGAAATCTTCATCTCAATACCAAAAGGCCCTTTTGAGTTTTTCTAGCAAGAGTCCCCAGTTCCGGGAAGCCAAGCACAGGGCAAACTCTCTGTGTAATGGCTTCCAGACTGCTTGGTTTTGGATCCCTTCTCACATAGTCTGAAGGGAAAGGAGGCGTACTTATTTCATTAGATTATATGGAACATCAGAAATCAGGTGGGGTGGCAGTGGTGGAATCTCTTAAAAGTTTTTTGAATTCCTTAGTCACTGAACTGGTTCTAGTTAAAACTAAAATCCTGAGCAAAGAGATTAAACAAAAGAAAACAATATCACAGATACTGAACAAAAGGAAATAGTTCATGTATCTGAAGAGCTCTTTAATCCTAAGCATAGTCAAGAAATAGTTGAGGGGACTTGCCTAAATCAATTTCACTTCAGAATGAAGACAATGTCTGGGTCACTGACCAACATTAATAGAAGAAAAAAAATCATTAGCTAAATAATGAAGTGACAGGAGTGAAGGAAGGTGAGAGGAAAGAACACACTAAAAAGGAAAACAGAAGACATGAGCAAAGTACAAAGGAAAAGTAAAAGAAGTTGAATTTTTCTCATTTTTTTCCACTTTGATAAAACATTCAAAACAAAGAGTATAACCATACCTACTGTATAAAGGTTTAACATGCAGGAATTAGTTACACATCAACATAAGACCAGTTAGAAGTTCACGTCCAAGGTCAATGATACATTTTTCTTATTGCAAATCTTATATTTAGAAACCTAACTATGAGGTATGAGGACTGACCCTGACAAAAAGACAAACATTTTACAAAACCAAAATACACCTAATTCTCTAAATAAAAATGTTTTCATCAACACATTTTAAATATTATATCTCTAAAATCAGGATAAGTTTAAGTCATAATATGATAATATGGAAAAATTTGCTTTTCAGGTAATGTAAAATACATGTATTTCTGCATTCACAAATACATTCCACTTGCTAAATAGATTTTGGTTTCGATTTTACTGACATATGCTTAATAAACCCAAAGTTCTAAGCATGTTCTTTTAGTAAAATGTCAATTTGCACATACATTCAATTTGCTTCCAGTCTTTTTTCCCATATGTTTATTGACTTTTAGCTTAGTCCCTGAGGTTCTTACAAATTATTTTCTCTTCCCTTAAGATGGGGACTGATGTAGCTCAAGCTATGCACCTAAAAACTTAGTTGTAAGTAAAAAATAGAACAATAAAAATAACAACCTGGAGTTATCTCAGTTATGTGCTCTGCACCAAACAAGACACTTTGTTAGGTAAATCAGTTATTAGTGCTTCATTTCAGAATAGTCTCAATAAGATGTTTTTGCACCTTATTGTGGATTTTAATAAATTTTTGGCTGAAACAAATTGAAATTTATCAGCCTACATAGTGATATCCACCATAGGCAAATATATTCAGGGAATTTCTGTTTGGCTAACAACATCTTCCAGTGAACACCCCCACTCCGTTTTTGTCACACATGTGGTGGTAAAGAAAGGGAAGAGAAAAATCTTTGGAGATGTTGTGATAAAACACACAATTGTAAAGTCAAAATGCTTGGTGGAGAGATTCTATTTTCTCTAGAAAAAGGTATATTTCAATTTACCTCTGCCTCGAACAATTGTCTAGTCATATTCTGACAGTAGTTTAGTCGCTTGCCGTAAGTCACACAGTTTGCAGCATTGCTAGAGAAAGAATCTAAAACGTGATGCTCACCTCATTCAAGACTGTATCTTTTTTTAACAGGAAAAAATGGAAAAAGTTTTAAGTTAAAACAGAGTTCATAAACATCAACGAGGGGTTGAAGAGGGCAGTCTGAATCCCACAATTTTTTTTAATTATTATTATACTTTAAGTTTTAGGGTACATGTGCACAACGTGCAGGTTTGTTACATATGTATACATGTGCCATGTTGGTGTGCTGCACCCCTTAACTTTACACTCAACTATGCATGGTCCCAGATGCCCAGATAACTCAAACTTATGGTTTGAAGTTTTTGGTTACTGGCTAGCATCCATTCTGATTGGTTGCTATATCCATTTTAACTGGTCTATTTATATTTAACAGCTTTATTTACTTATTTTAGAAACAAAGTCTCACTCTGTCACCCAGGCTGGAGTGCAGTGACACAAACATGGCTCACTGTAACCTTTGACTCCTGGGCTCAAGTGATCCTCCCGCCTTAGCCTCCTAAGTAGGTAGGACTACAGGCATGTGTCACCATGCTTGGCTTTTTTTTTTTTTTTCGAGATGGGGTCTTGCTATGTTGCCCAGGCTGGTCCCAAACTCTGGCCCTTAAGCAATTCTACCACCCTGGCTTCCCAAAATTCTGAGATTATGGATGTGCGCCACCATGCTGGGCCTTAACAGCTTTATTGAGGTAAAAATTGATATGTAACAAACTGCTCATATTTAACTATATAATTTAAATGTATCTCTACGTATTCACCTGTGAAGCCATTATCACAATCAAGATAATGAACACATCCATCACCCCCCACAAAGTTTCCTCATGCCTCTTTGTAATTCCTGCCTCCTAACCCTCTCCAATGATAACTGCTGATGTGCTTTTGTCCCTATACGTTAGTTTGAATTTCCTAGACTGTTACATAAATGATTTGTATTTATTTTTGTCTAGCACCTTTCACTCAGAATAATTATGTTGATTCTTCCATGTTGTAAAATGTATCAGTGGTTTATTCTTTTGTATTGCTGGTTAATATTTCATTGTTGGACTATACTATGATTTGTTTATCTATTCACTTGTCCATGGACTATTGTCTAAATTTTTAGGGTTATTAAGCTATGCAGTATTGAGCTTTAGATGAGTGTACAACTATTATTCCATTTAGCCTATTTTTCTAACCCTACTTAGCAGTTCCTCATTATGTAATTCTTCGAAGGAATATTTCTATTTCACAAGACGTCAACATCTTAGGGTTTGCAAGCTATTGCACTTTTTTCCCCTTTAATTTAGGCTGGATTGGTCAGCTTAGTCAGTCAACAGTGTTTGAGAGACCTGAATAGCCAAATTAGGAAAAAGTATTGAAAGTTTATCTGAGATCCTTGGGAATGAAGATAGTTTTCCACTGAGTTTCATTGATTCTTTTCTTACTTAATCTTTTGTTTCTGTTTGTTTGAAGAAACTATGTAAAACTGAGGTGTTACTAATTTTTTAAACAAAAATTAATTACAGTCATATTTATAACTAAGCTAAGTGTAAAAGATATAGTTAGGGGGTAAACTCATTTTTATTTTCTAATTTTGAGAGGCATTTTTAAAACTAAGAGTGTTTTTTTTTTTGGAATTGAAAAAATCTATTGATGTTCTTCTTTTAACTGAAGGATATAAGACCAAGATGGGGCAGATTTCTAATTTTACTGATTGGCACTGTAGGAAAATGCTCATATTTCACAGGTATACCATTATTAATGCCCAATCCCGTAGTCCTTTTTCATGCAGAACTCCCACTGGGAGTACCACATGAGAAAGAAATGCAGGATGAGACCCGATTATTATAACTCACAAGACTAATTATGACTTTGAGTTTTCCTGGATAAGCTAATTCTTTCTGCACCCTGGGATCAGTAAGCACAAAAGTAGTCTCACTGCATTTAACATTACGTATATTTACAAATAAATTCGAGACACTAAACAGTATTTCAGTTCTCCTCCATTTTCTTTGTAGTTTGTTTTTAAAATTGTAAAAAAAATTTTAAGACAATGTCACAGGTGTAGTTTTACTTTAAAAATAATAATAAAGCACACACCAGTCATTTATTTTTTGGCTTTGACTCATCTGTTTTAAATAGACTGTTTATTTTTATCAGCATCACTGGTGAGTAAGACTAAGGAGGGACATGGGAAAGCAAGGATTAAAGAGAACTTGAAAGAAAAAAGAACGATAGACAAATAGGAGTTGGAAGGAAAAGACAGAAAGAGAACGACTGTTGTAGATAAAAGAAGACTGTGGCAGGAGGGGCTTAATTTTCATTTTTATTTGTGGAGAGCTTTGTGAATGACATAAAATGATTAGATATTCTTGAATGATTTAAAATCTGTGTCTGATTTTCTGGCTTGACAAATCTCACAATCAATGATTCCAGAGTTTTCTATGATGCCACTATCAACAAATCCCTCCAACAGCATTTTTTATTCAGTTATGCATTGTATCTCTATATGAGAGAAAGTCTTTTTGTGTACTAAGTAATTTCCATGTTGTGAGGTTTCTGGTCTTCAGATACCTCCAATTTTATGCTTTAGTCAGAAAACTCACATAGCATTCAAAAAGGAAAACTCAAAGCAATATAGACTTTTGTGCCCTTTACAAAGAATTAGAGCTGTGTGCCCCTACCAATATAGCAATATATTATATAAGGTCAATACTCCTTTTCACATGCCTCTAATGCAGATACATTTTATGAGGTAGAACAGCAAACACTGAATCACTCTAGTAGAGATGCACAAAACAAGTAATTACAGTTAGTTGCAGAAAAATAATTATCCAGTTGTGTGATGAAAACCAGTTTTTAACTGGGAGGGGAAATTCTACCAAAAAAGCATTTGTGAAAGCTAAATGTTGTGATCTGGGAAACTTCCAAATGCAGCTGTATCACCAAAGAGAGGTACCATGCTTTTTTTTTTTCATAATAGCACATTGTACAATGGTACATTGAATGTAATACAGTATGCTCGTGTACAAGGCACATATAATTACTGCTATTTTCTGTTGACTTTTCTGTCTAAATGACCATTTTCTCTATTACCAATTCATCTAATATTTTAGCAAGAATACCCTTTATTGTCACTTAATGCTTACCAGGTAGTCCTTGATTATGATTAAATAGACACCAAGGATCACTAACAGTTCTTATTTGGTGTCGGCTATTACTATCATAAATGTTACCGCATATTACATGTGTTCAAGATATATAAGATAGCATTTAATATAGGAAAAAAAGCAAATGGGGCTTTATTCATAATGTGGCATATTTTTCTATACATTAGAGAGGACATCAATGAAATGTGTACATTTCCACAGAAGGTATTTATCTCAAATATCTAGTGTTCATTCTGCTCTTACATACTCCTAACCCTCATTGAAGCCAAGAGGATTTTGCTTCCTTACTGTTAAGCATGGCTGTTCTGGGCCTTTTAACTAAATCCACTACCATGAATGAAGTTACAGCAGAAACAGCAAGTACAGCTACATTTAGGCTTATATCAGCATTTCCGTTTAACACATTTTATAACTACATTTAAGGAATGTGGAGGTTATGACATGAAATGACAAAACCCAAGCATGTGAGCTGGATGAGACTATCTTTAGCCAGGCTTCCTGGGCCAACGGGAGTGAAGTATATGGCCTAAAGAAAGAGGCTCAGCTTTGCCTCAGAATTTTCAGGAGTGTGGAGGCTCTTTTTAAAGTCTGAATATTAAGCATATCTTATCTATATACCATAATGGCATCTGTGGCCAGCAAACAAGCCTGTGAAGCTCGAGGAAGTTTCCATCCTAATCCTTTCAATTGCTTCTTGCTACTTCCTCCTCCCTACAGCCATATACTGGACTCCATACCACTACAAAATGAAAAGAGCAAACAAATAAGACTACCTTTGGGGCAATTTCCATGGTTGCTTTCAAATGAAATGCAACTTTTCTGCGTTTAGTAATTTGAGTTACTAAACTCTAAAACTGGTTTAGTAATTTGGGTGTAGAAAAGAATTTGTCAAGATAGAACCTTTAAAAATCCATTTTATTATATGATGATCAATGTTAAAATAATGACAAATCTATCTATATTGCACATACCTGTATACATATATCTGTATACTCTTGTGAAATATAGAAACCTTGGTGTGCATACCAAAGGCTCTGTATTCATTTTTGCTTAGTTATTATCATTAACATCTTTGGGACATTTATCCATTGTAAATCTATCTTTATCTCCTCATTTTCTAATCAATTGTAGAGCTTGATAGTAAATACACATGTTAGTGTGACATATTACATTGCCATTAATAACAAATTATTATATACCATATTCTAAATGTTTTAGCAGACTAACATTTTCTCTTGGCAATTTTAATGATACAGCATAACCAAACATAAATTCTGAAATTGTATCTATTGAGATTTTGAATGGAAAAATATTATTAAATCTGTTGCTACTTTGCAAGCTATTTTATTTTTAAAAAGGTAATGTTTTCTTTTAAAACATGGAAAGATAAATATTTGTTGCTAATTTCATACATTTATTTTGGCATACAGCATAGTGATTATTAATAATTGTTCTCTTTAAAAAGTCGACTACTCATTAGGGGGATTGGGTTTTTAAATATAATGTTAAGATTAGTGTAATTAAGTACTTTGAATTCTAAAATACTCATTTAACCACTCCTAAAAAAAATCTAAGTTGAATGCTTTTAAAAGTTCTTCAAAAACCATTGTCAGTTTTATTTTGTAAAATCCTTTTCAAAAATTAGTCTACCACTGTGAAAGAAATGCTTTTAATAGAGAGATGAAAAAAAGCGGGGAGGAGGGATTCAGGAGGAGAAAAATGTCAAGTGAATCAATATGATTAATTAAATTAAATGTGGATTCATAAAGCTCATATTCACAGATTTACACAATATATTCACAGTGACATTTAAAATATGTTTGGAAATCCCTAAATAAAGTCCCACGTACATGAAGACATTTTTCATCTTTAAAAAATAAAAAAAGTATCTACGTAATAAAATCATATATCTTTACTGCTAACTACTATATATGTTAATAGTTCTTTGACAGAAAAACAGGAACAATTTTAAGATGTAAAACTTTTAAAGGAAAATATATCCAGTTTTGCTACTTTCTGAGAGGTTTATCCTTAAGCCTATCGATAATCTTGGCTACAAATATAACATAAATACTTTTTCTTGTTTTTAATCCATATCAAGGTCGTTTTGGTGTTAAGCCATTAAATTTACAACTCTATGCTGTTCTTCTACTGGGTCACTAAACTGTTAAAACTTAGCAGGTCAAATATTTATAAGAATAAATGTTAATTTGTACAAGTTGTGAAATATGATGTAGAGGAAAAGAACTGGTTCTTAAGTTTCTGAAATATATTTAAAAAAAAAAACTCAGGCAACAACACAAAGACAAAAGTGATACCTTAAACCTACTTGTAGAATTAATATCTCTGAATGATAAAAATGACAACAGGGTCTTTAACACAACATAACACCTAAAATAAGAGATTTGGAGAGAATATCCAGGTTCTGACAGTACTTACTGGTGTGATTTTTATGTAAGTCAATTTAACTTAAGAAAATTAATAGTCTTTAGGTATTAATTCTGAGTTGTTTATGATTACTCTGTCACAAAAGTCTATTAATGTTAGTGGGTTTCTCCTCCAATCCTGTGTATTTCATATTAGTATAAAGCCTTTTATTCCTGCTTTCATGAAGAGTATATTATATTGCTTTCACAACAACTCAGTCATAGCTCAAGCTATTTTAACAAATGACAATTTTTCCCTGTAAAAAAAGTTCCAAGATAAAGATTTTACATCACAGAGAAAATGGAGGAAAATTGAGAGAATACTTTATTTCCTTTAGTAGCTTGCTATTGATGATGAAAAACAAGGAAACAAATATAATTGGTAAAACAAACTCCAAAGGAAGTTTCAAGTATCTCAAATAGGGGAATATTCTTAGTTGTAAATAGCTCAATTTTATTTCTAGAACCTAAAATATGTATCACTCTCCCCCCCAACCCCAATCTTGCTTCCAATTTCAATACTTCAGCCTTATCAAGTAAACAAGCTATTGTTAGAATAGAAAACCCAGCTAAGGTTTGAGGGCTGCTGCCACGTCCCTCTCTTCCTAGCACAATTCGGTGCCAATAGCTTTTGGAAAAGGGAAGAAAGAAAGGTCTGCCACTGTGGTGTGTGGAAGTAAAGGGGCAGAGGGGCATCACTTCAATCTCTTGGCTCTGGTTCTTTCTCACTCTCGCATCTCCAGGGAAAAGAGATGCTCTTCATTCACAAAACAAAACAAGAAAATCTCTATAATTATTTTTGGCTCAGCTCCATTGAAATTCATTCTCCTGGAAGCGTCTCTGTTTTAGATTAAAACAATGCTTAGAATATTCATTCTCTGCTCCCCTTTTCTTTCTTTCTCTCTCACTACCCCTGCATGCCACCCACCCCCAACCCACCCACCCACCACCATTTTCCTCTTGCTTTCTCTGTTTCTCAGTCTTGGTTTCTTTTGCCCTCTGCCCCTGCCTTTGGTTATATTTTTTCTTAATAGTACCAAAGTTAGGCCTCAGAGATTGCTAACACCAATGCCTACAAGTGCCTACTCAAGGTCTCCATGTTTAATGTCATTTGTTCAATCTCCTCCCCTCTTCCAGACAGTGAATTTCCCCAATCCTGTGTCACTGGTCATATTTTATGATTGTGGATTTGCTGATATAATGTTTCAAACCAAAAAATAGATCACTTCTTGTCTTACCCTGTTCAGTAAAATTGGGAATACAATTTACTTTATCTTTCCTACAGACCTCTCTTCAATATCCAGTCCTCAAAAGATGAATAAAATCTTCGTTGTCCATAGTAGATGGTAGTTATTAAATTTCAGCAGCAAAGCATAGAAAATTATTATTTTAAAAATCTAAATTCCACCATTTAGTCAGACAAAATTTAATGCATGAAACAAGGATGTAACTGTACAAATTTTTTCTTATCACTTTTAACCTTGATTTTTTTTCTTTATGGTAAAACTTTTGCCTCTTCTCCTTACTAAGGGATAACAATTTCAGCAAATGGAAAGTAGAATTCCTTTTCCAAACAAAGTTTGTGTGTACATATTAACAAAACTTATTTGTGCTATGAAATGTGGGATCCAGTTTCCTGAAACAGTGGATTCATTTTGGATCCTACTACAAGACAATAATTTTATTTATAATGACTTACATCCTGTGGAATTCCAATTTCTCATACCTTTCAATTTTTGGTGACTGTAGACAAAGTTGCTGATAAACTTTTACAGAAAGAGGCGGATCTTATACCTACATTCATTAACATTAATGCATTATTCTATTTCTCACTTTCTAATTGGAATAATGAATTTGAGTTCGTTTCAAATTCTTGGTTGTGAGCAAAGGCATCCAACCTTAGTACCCATCACCCGTGGAGTGCGCTTCCTATTTAGGGGTGCATTTCTGCCCCTTTGAACAACGAATGTTTTATGTGGATACTGTATTCATATATAAGTAAGCTCTACCCTTCCTGCACCATCTTGACAAACAAAACAAAATCCTGACAGTTGCCCAGATCTGAGATGTCTCTAGGATTTCCTATATGCTCAACAACACAAAAGCAATTGTGTAAGTGTGTATTTAAAAGAGTTTGAAAATCCATTTCTAAGACTTCACAAGAACTGATTACTGAACTCCATTTGGTTTACCAAATAAAGATGAGAAAGAAAAAAAAAAGAAAACCACAAACACTGCCATTAATTACACTGTAAACATTAAATAAATATTCTTTCTTTCTATCCTTTGCCCTTTTCAAAAGGAAAGGTGGTAATTTACATGTACTGTGCTTCTTTCTTCTCATTGTTTTAATTCCTTTCTTTCTGGCTTCTTTTTACTTGTATAGAAAAGAGGTGGACATGTTTGAGAAGATAGAAATGTTTACCTAGTATATTTGTACATTTTTTTTCATATAAAGAAAGAGCCTAGGCACCTTCTACTTTGTCTTATGACCTTTGTTAAGCCACTAATCTGGAAGCTGCATTTTAATTACAAAATATTATAAAGGGAATATAGTAGGAATACACAACCTTTGATTCCTAGCCAAATGAGAGGAAGTTTAATAGCAGTGTATGGTTGCAGGAATGGTTATGCTTGGGATCCATATGCATGTTCAACTCACACATTCAGGCAGTGCAATAAAGCAGGGAAAAAACAGCTGATACACAAAAGGGACCGTCTAGACAGTACCCCATCAGTCTGGCTAAATTTGGTGCTGGCATTCCCAATGGGATTGTAATATAATTGTTCTGGTGTCTGCGTTCATTCTCCCTGTCAAACACCATTCCAAATATACATCCTTCTCCCCCCAACCCTTCTTGTTCCACAAATATGAAGCCCAAACTGTGCCATGTTGGAGAGGGTGTTAGATGGCTCAAGCCAAAGAAAATGTTATAATTTAGCAAAATCACATTGTTTAATTCCTTGGGAAAAAAAAACCCTGTTACATCTTAGCTTCAAATAGAATTAGTTTCAGTCAAATTTTAATAATTTAAATTAAGAACATGGAAAAGATTTCAATGCAAATACAAATAACCTGAAAATATTGAGCACCTTAGATGAAAGCAAATAGGCCTTTTTACTCTTTTATATTTATTAGCCTCTGTCAGAAAATTTAACAGAAATCAGAAATGTGAAAGTGTAATGATCGACATGGATCATAAATTCTAATGAGGAAAAAACCTAATGAAAAAAATGTTAAGCAAAAGCATTGAAAAAATGCAAATTGTGTATTTTTTCTTTCTTGGGCTTAAAGCCATAATTTTTTTACTCTAAGCACCTTCTGAAAGTTGAATTTGTGATATTTATATATGAACAACTTCATATTTTTGGCTTTTAATAAAAGAAACCAGCCATATTTACCCATCAATTTATAATAACAATTAATGTTTTTAAAATATTTTGGTTTAAAACACTGAGAAAATGAAAATCACTACTTACAATATACAATAAACCAAAAAGCACATCATTAACATGAATAATACACAGATTATTGGCAAAAACATTTATAATCTAAAAACTTCCACAACGTTGAAATTAAAACTGTCAGATTCCTTTTTTTTTTTTTAAAGGAAAATGCAGTCTTTAGGATTACCATATAATATAACCACCAGATACATTTATTTTATTTTCTGTTTTAACATGTCACCTCTGGGCATTGTTTAGATATTAAAATTGGGCAGTAAACCTATTTCTTAATCTTTTTTTAATTCCAAAAAAAATTATTTTGGGAAAGAAGCTAGGCTGTTTGTTTTGTCTTGTTTTATTAAGTGTAAATCTATGTTTGTACTTCTGATTTTGGAGGTTTAATAATCCTTTCCTTGATGCTGTAAATAGAAATTGGTCTCCCACCTCCCAGCAGTTTTCAGATTCTAGATTAGGAACCCAAGTGAGTGAAGAAATCTCCCAACCCCCATCAGGGACTACTCTAACTAGAGAAAAATCAAAGAAAATACTTCAGGCACTACATCCTGCCTTTATCCAACTTCAGGAGGCTGAGAGACAGACACACTAACCAAAACGGGGCACAAGCGAGAAATGGCTGTTCCAGAAAGAAGCAACACACAGAGCCTCAACTCGCACAAAGACAGAGCACCAATTACACAGAAAACCACCACCAAAGGAACCCAGAAACACTCAGACATGCTTTAGAGATGCCTTAAAATGCTCACGTGGAAAAGAAAGAGAAAATAAGTTTAAGAGATTGTATCCTTTTATTTTTAATTTTTAAAAATGTAATTAGTGACTTCATACTTTTTCCTTCTTTGTATAAAATTGCTATTCTGATGTGCACATGGGTACTAGAAACAGTCATTAAAAAGATAATAATATTTGAGCATAGTGCCTGCCTGAAGCTGGGTATTTTGCCTGTGATTGTTTTTTTTTTATTCGGTTTTATTTTACTTTTTTAGAATACACACATGGTATAAAGTGAAAGAAAGGCATACTGTAGGCCTCTGTGAGATGAAACAGCGTAGCAAAATCTGAATTTTATACTTAGTTTTCAAACTATTGAATAATATCCTAGGAGACCTCTTAGGTCTTAACTGGATTAAAATGAATATATTTGTGCTCCGGCTCTTTTCAGCTAACTAATGTGCATGTGAATTGATAGTGTGCGAGGGAGCAGGCGAGAGCAAGTGTATATGACACCGGGAGTTGATGCAGGGGCCAGGCCGAGTGTGACTCTGTGAAGGAGCGTGCAGGACGGTGTGGGCTGCCTGGACAGAGTGAGAAATGAAAATTAACAGGCCTTGGGGTCTGGTGCGTTTTGTCCAGAAACACAAGAGAAGCTTAGTTGGGATGAGGGGGGAGGGGCAGGGTGTTGGTGAAGGGAGGGTGGAGAAGGAGGTGTGGCGTGTGTGTGTGTGTGTGTGTGTGTGTGTGTGTGTGTGACTCTGAGGTTTCAGTTATGGCTGAGCCTTGGGTTTTTGTTTTGGCGGTTCCCAGCATAAATAGGCTGAAGTTTCAGGTTCAGGGTGGAGTGCATGCCAGGGGATGGGATCGTCGTTCTGAGTTTCTCTTTCTGGCCCTTCTCTATGGTTGCTGCTCAGAACATTGCTGCTGTGAAGGAGTAGGGGGAGAAGCAAGGGATGGGGGTCTGTCTGCAGCTGCCCCTCTCACACTTGAATAAAAGAACTTTTTTTTTCAGGGGTAGGGAAGCTGTGAATACCTTTCCCAATAAGAGATGAGGCATATTGAAAACTATATTAAATTACCCTGATTAACAATTTAGCCACGAACAGGGGAGCTTTGGGAGATCTCTATAGGCAGGACTGGGGGCTATTCATGCCAGCAGCTAAGAGGTCGAAAGGTTTCTGAAGTTCACAGGCTCAGAGCCTTTGTTATGCTAACAGACAATCTCAAATCAGCTGCCTAGTGGAGTGTGAAATATAAATGATTCCTTGAGAACTTCCAATAAGTTGTCACTCTTGCTCTCCAAATACCAGGACAGGCTGCTAATTTCTAGCGGGCCCTTTTGCAACATTGCTAGCCCTAAATGAATGCCTTTGTAGTTCAAATAATCTTTTCAAGGGAGCTGTCCTATCATCATAGCCCAAATGCATCTTGGTTTTGACTATTAAATGAAAATCAGGGCTCAACTGTGCTTGACTTTTCCAAGCGCCCGATGTTTGGGAAGGATGGTGGCAGCTCTCATGCACAACAAGTTAGCACCCACCGCAGGAGGGCCAGGGCATTAATAACAGCCCACAGCCCCGAGCTACCCCAACTCTCACCCCCACTCCCTACTGGGAACAAAGCTCCTGGAGAGATTTACGTGACTTCCCTTGGGCTGGACTACCTTCCTCTTTCAACCACACCAACATTTCTTTAATTTATGGACCCTCTATCCAAGAGGATAGCCAGCTGACCTGCTAGCATCTGACTGGTCACTTCGAAGCATCAACTTTGGGGATGGATCTATTCATTCTTCAAGGCAGACAAGGCCAAGGGGAAGAGGGCAAGGTGTGTGTCCAGGCCATGCCCCTAGTATCAGATGCCTGTGGATATTATTTTATCATTTTCCCATAAGAAGGATGTGAACATGGCTTATGATCTTGAGTGTGACCTTTGAGCAGGTCCCGATGGATAGAAAACCAGTCCTGGCTCTCGGAGTCTAAATTGCAAAGCTTTTAAAATAAGGAAAAGCACCCCCATTCTAAACCTCAAACAAGCTGAGGGGAGTGAGAATGAGAATCTATCAGGGAGAGTGTGCTCAAACATTCTTATAGAAAGGACAATGCAATTTATACAAATAAAGAAAACACACAGACAAGAGGACAGAAATCAAAGGAAATTAGAAATCCATCTGCATCAGCCTTCACAAAGGAAAGGATAAAACCTTACAGCTTGGGTCCTGAAAATTTTGATATTTATGACTCCATGACCTCCACTTCCTTGCTGAAATATAAAAAGGTCCATGATATCACAGAAGACTCAGCTTTTTCCAAACAGAGCAGGTTTGATTTTTGAGGCCAGGAATGGGAAGAAATCAAATGGACTACATTTCTTAGTATATAATTAGGGTAAGTTTACATTCATATAAACAATATTTTAAAATACTTCGTTAAGTAACTTTATGAAGCTGGATGATACAGCCATACAGAAAACCCGAGGGCCTTGATTTCCTATCATCTTATTGTTCTTCTAATTAAAATGATTTTAAATAATTACATCAAAAATATTCTGGGGGAGTTAGTTTCTACTGGTATAGAAACTGGTTTAAGTAAACACTTCTTTGTACTCTAGGTATACTAAAACTTATGACTATTAAAACATGAATTAGATATAAGTAAGAATGGTGGCATAACTTTCATCAGTTTTGAAATCATCTAGCTTACATTTTAAAATCTTTTTAAAAAAGCCGGGGTACACAGTACAATTGTAAAGGACTCTGGGATTCAATTCAGAGATTTTGGTCCTTAGATAGGAGCCAGTGTTTAAGAACCAGGTCATCTTTGTCTTTCAAATTCTTATTTGTTTCACTCAGTAAAAGAATCTGCAAATAATATTGCTTAGGAAAATTCGTTCAGATTACTGACATTACAGGAGTAAAAGTTTATGGTTTCTTCTGCCAAATGTCAAAATTAGACAATAATGTATTATTGATCCACTCACACCCTTCTCAGAGGGACTTAGCATCCTTGTTATCCTTATTTTATAGATAGTAAAGTGACTGGCTTTGGATGCACTTCTAATTATACAAAACAGAAGGCAACATTGATAGCTAAAAGTTCGGCGTATGAGAGACAATGTGCCTAAATTTAACTTTTCATCTCTTTTCCATTTTTAAAAATTTAATTAATATTAAATGGTAGAGTATCAACACGTTATTGACACATCCTGGACATTCAAAAGACAAATACATTCCCTGTGCTTTCCAAATACTTATTTTACCACTTCGAAGTGTCCTCTCTCTTTCCGTCTTTAACACATCAAAACAGGGAAGAAAGCGCTTTTGTGTTATAACTACAGAGAAAACATTTGAGAATGTGTCAATGCACTGAATACCAGCACCAGTTTGGGGGTTGGTTTGTTTTTTCCCCCTGCCGTGGTATTTCTTTTCCCTCTGCTTTTGCAGTCTTTAAACTCTGACCACTTTGAGAAAAGCAATGGTTGAAATGAAAAGTTAGAACAAATTGCATCAAACCTGTGTGTTGCCAGAATATGAGCATGATGAAAGCAGGGTTGGGACATTATGGAGCCATAGCTGCTCTCCACACACAGAAAATTAAAATAAAATAAAACGTAAAAGCTGTTTCTGTTTCTCTCTCTCTCTTTCTTAAATACCTATGACCTAAGAGAAAGGGAATTCCTGTTTAAAAAAAAGTTTCCAGGGTTGCCATTTCTCCATAGTGGGGGTGTCTGAATGCGCGTGTTTATGTGCGTGCATGTGAGTGTGTGTTTGGGGAGAAAAGAAAGAATGGGGAGGAGGAAGGGCAGATAACTTTACTGACATATTAATTCTTTAGATAGCAGTAAATGAATGGTCCAAATAGACATTTGTTTCTCTTAATAAGTTTTGTACAGGTCTCTTACAAGCTGTGGCATATGCTTCATTTATATGTATATTTATTTAGAAGGTTAGAGAATAATAGGTGTAGCTTGGCTATAGTAGCAGTTATTATTTAAAGTCCAAGAGGTTACAACTTTCCTTCTACTCTAAACGTGAATACAAAGGTCTCTTGTATATGCCTCTTGCTTTATGTTGAGGGCCAATTAAAAATAAAGATAATATTCTAACTGTCGAGGCTTAGGAGGCGAAAGAATGAGGCTAAAAGGCAAAACGACTCCAAGATGGCTGCCTCTTCCTTCTTCCCCCTCCTTACTGCCTGTTTTCCACATGAAAATTAATGTAATATTTTGTTTAGAAATCACATTGTAGGTCATTTGCAAATGAGGCAGGCTCTGAGGCACCCACATCTGCCCAGAATACCCTCATGATGCCATCGAGGTATGGAAAGAGATTAAAATGCAAACATTCAAATGTATTTAGGTTTGTACATAGTGACTAGACTCACATACATACACACTTGAATGTGTGAACAACACACACAGCTGTAAATGGAATAAAAGGCCAAAATCCTTCTTAATTCTTAGAACAGAAGGGCAAAGGAAAGCGCCAGGCCACCACCTTTCTCCCCAAAGGTTAGAAAATGCACTGTTCATGGTCTGGATTCGATGTTTTAAAAAAGATATATCTTACTGATGACTCTCTCATTAGCCAGCCTTCTGAAGTCTGGGGACACAAGATTTCCATAAATTATCTCTCTAACTCATCTCATGCTGGTGCAAAATGCAAAGCTAAATTTTTTTTAAATTTTTAATATTTTTTTAAAAAGAGAAAATACTAAGCTAACCAGCTTCCTGACAAACATGTTAAAAGATTAAGCTCACCAGTAATTAATACTATTAATTATAATAAATATATTTTTATCATAAAATTCCATCCATAAAGCTAAACTAAAAATAATGTAGGAAATAAATAAAAGCGTATTTGGCTCTTTCTAATAGATTTATAGCAGGTTACTGAGCAGATTTGACTGCACTAGGCAAAGAACAAAGCAAATGGTTTAGTTCCTATAGGAAATATACTAAAAAGAAAAAAAAGGAAAAACCCCACAACCCTTTATCTAAAAGCCATCAGGGACAAGCACTCAATACAAGTTAACAAGCAGGAACTGATAAGATAACATTTATATGAGGTCAGAAGTCAAATGCCAGTCAAAGGCTTTTAACCTCTTGGGTCATAAACAGGAATAGTTAAAAGTGAGAGGTAGTTATTTATCGGATTTTAAGGGTACCTGATCATTGCCACAGAATCACCGATGATGAAACTAATTGGGATTTATAGAAAAAGAA
This sequence comes from Homo sapiens, assembly GCF_000001405.40. Classification (NCBI taxonomy): domain Eukaryota; kingdom Metazoa; phylum Chordata; class Mammalia; order Primates; family Hominidae; genus Homo; species Homo sapiens. The sequence continues at coordinate 88,393,145 of NC_000005.10, read as the reverse complement.
CTTTGTAGCTGTTCAAAGAAAATTAACCTACAAACCCACAATTCTTCAATTGGTAGGGAGAAAAACAAACTAAAAACCCCTCTTTTGGGAGAGAAATAAATCTGGCAATTTAAACAGTAACAAAATCTCTCTCAAAATCAATAATTTATGACTAATGTACATATCGATTAATATATAGTAAATGATTTTAAAAATAAATTCTGTATTAACAATGAAACAACAAAAATAAGCATTATATAAGGTATTTCCAAGTTTTGTTCTTTTTCTTTGTTCCTTTTCAGACCCTCTAAATTAGACAGAATATAACTCCATATCACAATATTTCTTGCCCTCAGAATGCCATCATTTATAAATTTAAATATATATATTCTAATAGCAATTATTTTTAAACATTGGAATATTGAAACTGCGTAATTAAATTTGTATCTTAATCTATCCAGAGAAACAGATGTTTCTTTTATTTGCTGTCAGAATAGTTTTTCTTTGTTTTGATTTTTGTCCTTTTTGTCTCTTTTTAGGTTTACATTCCAAACTCCCAAACGTTCCTGGTTTCTGCATCCATGCTGGTTCATATTTTCAAAGCATACCCACCCCTCTTTTTTCTTTTGTAATAAAAGAAAGCAGATCTAGATATTTCTTTCTAGAGAGAGGTAGAGGGATTGTTGTTAGGCCTGCTAAGGCCCACTGTTTCTTTAAACAGAGTCCATAATACCCTAGGCGAACATTGTGGATTTAAAATGCTTTTAAATATTTATCACTAGTATTTTATCATCATATTCAAATGACACCTGGAGTGCACTCACCTTTATTGACAATCTCTGTTCTGAAAGTCCATTTGCTTCCTTAAAGCCCCCCAAGCAGAACAAGGACTACCCGTTTTCATTCAGTTAATGTTTAGTAAAAAACCAAGCAACCTTAATCAGCATGCTGATTGCATCGTCAACTAACAAATAATTTACTACTCTGAGCATTGCATTCCATTAAAAGCTCATTAAATTTTCTGTTCTCCAATGGGAGGTTTAGCTTTTGAACTGCATGCTTTTGCTTCGAATGATCATTTATTCAATCTTTGCAAAATGTTGTGGTTTGTTTTTTCCTAAAGTATAGGTGAGCATTTCAATACCTATAGATTGCAAACATATGGAAACACAGCCCAGAGTTGGAGAATGTTCAATTTGATTTATAAACTCTGTTTAATAAAAATTCAACACAATCTCTTGTACTTTTAGTAAATTCTGAAACAGTTGAGTATATCTGTGGTTATGTGTGACCCAAACATAATCTCAGAAATATTAGTATATAATCTAAAATATCAGATCCTTTCTTTAATGCTTAAATTTTTCTTTTCTGCCTATTATAGCTATAATTATTTTTTTCTTTGTAAATAGTTGTTTTCTACTGATGAAAAAGGGGCATGATACCACAAAGCTCTTACCCTATTTGATGCCAGACTTAATACTTCGGGGGGGAGGGGGGTGGGCAGTGGCTAGTTACCCAAAGAAATCCACATTTTCTGGGGTTTGCACATTTTTTTACAAACTCATAATCCCCTGAATTGTTTTCATGCCCAGACTTGTCTAGGAAAGAGTGTATTTATTATTTTTAATTTAGGGAAATGTAAGAAAATATCAGGCACCCAAATTAACATGCATCTTTGGATTGCTAATTGTGCTCATTGCAAATTTGGGTCATTTTGCATGAGTGACTCTAATGTAGGGCTGAGATTGCCACGCAGCCAGCGCAGTGGATTCCTGATTCCCCGTGCTAATCCTGAACTCGGTGATTGTGTCAGGTGCAGTTCTGTATGCTCTAGCAGCTGGCTCATCCTCATCAATGCAAATAAGGCAACTCCTACAATCAGAGCCTCGCGAGTGTGAGGCCTGATTGCTGAGGGCAGGCTAAAACACTACACAGACTCTCACTTTCAAATCCCGCTAAGTGAGAAGACAACTGCAATGTCCCTCCAGTTCAAAATCAACCTTTCGAAAACAAAACAAGAAGAAAGGGATGGCTACAAAGAGGAGGAAAACCCCAATGTTTGGGAAGTGGACTTGTTTAGATGGGTTTTATTTAGATACAGAGATAATGTAAAGTGCATTTCAACAAATAATTATTTAGCTCCTATTCTGTGCAAGATACTTTGCTTTAAGAGCTGCAGGGGATACAAGGGTGAGGAAGAACACACTTCCGGCTTCCAAGGAACCCTATCACTTGATTGCAGAAGATGGTAAACATTAAGATAATAGTGGAACTGTTATTAAGGAGCAGTCACGAAAATCATAAATGAAAACCAAAAAACATACTTTTAAGGGAAGTATTTAGATATGGCATATTTGTGGCATAGACGTTAAGAGCAAGGCTTTGGAAGCTTGGGGTTCAAATCCCAGCTTTGCCACTTACTTGCTCAAGTTACTTTGCCTTTCTAAACTGTAATGTCATCATCTGCAAAATGGTGGCAACACAAGCACCTAGCTCAGAGATCTTGAAGAATGAAATGAGATTATGTAAATAACAACTTACCACAGTGCTTGGCACATAGTAAGTGCTCAATGTCAGCTATGATTATTATTATTCCCTTCTTAACACACAAAGAAGGAGGGGATCCAAAAATAACAGTGTGCCACAGTTTGAAAGGCATTTATTTGATCTTGTCTCTAAATTTCCATTTTACATGTAGCACTTACCCGGTGGAAGTGAAAATACAGTGAACGCTAAAAAGCCCTGTGTCTCTCGGTGGTGTCTGGACAACCCTGGCAACTCGGAACATGAAGGAGAGAACAAGAATTCCCTGTGCTTTTCCTTTTCTTCTTTTCCAAACACGTGTGCAGACTTCCCCTGCATTTCAGCCCCACCCTCTTTATTTTACTGCCTAATCTATAAAGGAGGATTAACAGCAGCACGCTGCTTTGGCATAGAGCAGATTCTGGGTGAGGACCTGTAGGTAGAGTTTAATGAATACAATTTTCTAGGACTGTGAGTGCATATTTTTAGCTCCATGCTGGGCTTCAGCGTTGGCTCTTGAGACAGATGAACAGACTCTTTGATCAGACTTGGGTGTTGCTCCAAGAAGAACCTTTTCTCAGAAAGTCGTTAGGAAAAAAAATTGTCTTCTGTTGCCCTTATTCCTAATGTGCACTCTATAGATTCAGATTCCAGATAACTTGTCCTGATCTCAGTAAATTAATTGCATTGCAACATTGAGTTACACCACTGTGGAAAGAAAAAGTACTTCTGGGCAGGAACAGATCCACTTTCTCACAAAAGAGAATGGCTGGTGTTCAAGTGTGTGGTTGCCATCCTTTCCCTTTTGAGAGTAGGGTAGAGGTAGTTAACCTTCCTGGGGGAGGTTTGGCCTAGACAACATCATAGACACTATATCCCCCCTGGAGTTACCAAACAATAAAACTGCTTCCTTTGCCAAACACAAAGAATGGTCTGGAGTTGGATATTAGCAAACAGCAAGCCACATAAAGAAGACAAAAAAAAAAAAAAAAAAAAAAAGGGAGAGAGGGAGAAGGAAGAAAAGAATAGGAAGAAGGATGGAAGAAAGGAAGCAAAATTACGTGAAGAGGAAAGCATAAAATAAGATCGCTTTTCTGCTTTAGCTTGCCAGAGAAAGAGGGCAGCCATCCACTTTTGTCATGATTTTAGCTATTGCCAGGCAAGGATGGGAAGGTGGAGAAGAATGGATTTTGATGTAATGCCAAGCAGGTCAGGGATGAGGCACCGGGTCTTTGGAAATAGCTGAGACTTTAATACCTTGGCATTGGGAGAGTGTGCACAAGATGGGGAAGGATTTGATCTTTTGCATTCCTGCTCAGGACCCTCTCCTACTCTATCTAATAGGATTAACAGATATTTTCCTAAGCAGAAATCAAAATGTGTCAAATCATCTGAGGCAGTCAATTTGTTCACAATGCCCACGTTCTTACAGTACAGATGCAGCACTATTCAAAAACAGTTTCATTTCAAGAGATACAATGCAGCAGAGATGTAAACATTTATCTTCATAATCTTACCCTCCTTTCAGACTGCTTAATTTTTCCCAGTGATTTTCCCCTCCTCTTTCACTCTCCCCGCCTCACCCCCCGCCCCAGCTCAAGCTTCAAAACATCTAGTACAAAAAAGACATGACTTCCCCAGAGGATTCGGGTCTCAGTGATCCTGATGATGCAATGTGTGCTCTCCATTATTCCTGGGAGCTCACTGGATATGTTCCTGTATCCCGCCTCACAGCTTCAGTTGTCCTTATTTTTGCATCCCTTACAAATCCTCCTTAAACACCTGCAAAGGTTACCTCCACCTCTTCCTCCCACCTCATTCCAAGTTATCAGGACTCCTTCCCCACCCTTGCCACCCCACCTCTACACTCTTTTTTATTTTTATTATTGCTATTATTATCCTCTCCACCAGCACAGCCCATGTGGTTTCTCCTTAGGGAGGCATTAAGTTGCCGTCCCTTGGGCTATCTTAAAACTGCTTTTCCTCTTCCAGCTCCTTTTGAACACAACAGACCACCGTCACCTTTGGAAGAATGAATGAAAGTAGTTAGAGTAGGATTCCAACTTCACATTGTTGGCATTCCTGAAAATCTCATGCATTTTCATTGCCTCCTCCCCACTTCCCTTCTTTCTCATTGAGACCCCATAGCAGCAATTAGAAGCTCTGAAATGAATAGAAACAATAGCTACCAGTGTGTGTAATTCTTAAAACTTGAATAGTAGACATTTAGCAAGCAGAATAAAGGCCGATTTTATTCCTCTTTCTTATCACTTGTATATTCAGTATACATGTATAGTTTTTTTTAAAAGTAGATTACTCGCTGGGTGCCGTGGCTCACGCCTGTAATCCCAGCACTTTGGGAGGCTGAGGCGGGTGGATCATGCGGTCAAGAGATCAAGACCATGCTGGCCAACATGATAAAGCACCGTCTCTACTAAAAATACAAAAATTAGCTGGGCATGGTGGTGCACGCCTGTAGTCCCAGCTACTCGGGAAGCTGAGGCAGGAGAATGGCTTGAATCCAGGAGGCGGAGGTTGCAGTGAGCAGAGATCATGCCGCTGCTCTCCAGCCTGGGCGACAGAGCGAGACTCCATCTCAAAAAAAAAAAAAAAAAAAAAAAAAGTGGATTACTGACTATAATCTCCATAACAACATATTTTTCACTGATATATTTTGGGTGTCTATTTCACCATAATTCTCTATGTGATTGTGGTGTCAAAATATGATGAATTGGTCCATTCTCCCTAGAAAGTCCTCTCCACCATTTTTCCTTCCCATCTGTTAAAACCCTACCCATTCTGTGGGATCCAACTTACACCACATCTCTTCTAGGAAATTTTCCCAGATCCTCCCAGAAGAGTTGTTCTCTCTCCCGCAGGGCTCCTAGTGAGGATGTTTATGTCTTTCCTCTCTCACCCACTGGAGTTAGTTTTGTATTCTAGCCACTGTTGATGTCTGTCTGCACCCAGACCAGGAGGCCTGGAGCACAAAGAACATATCTGTCCTTTCTGGTTTCTCTATCACTCCTACAAGAGGACCTGGCACAGCAGAGCGACTCTATCAACTGAAGATGACATACGTATGGATGATAGCTCAGCCTTCTGAGCCTGAGAAAAGGCCACCAGTACCTGTTTTGAGCATGTCTGGATGAGGGAGATGTCAAGCTACTCCTGGCCTGCTTCTCCCAACTCATTCCCACTTATACATGACAATGATTTTGAGGCTTCCTCACATTAGAATTTTTAATATTTTTTCATCTAAATGCTCGTCTTTAGTAAATATGTAACTAGATGAATTGTGAAGTGAGAGAATTAAAAAGTGCTATCTTATATCTGAATGAATAAATCATTTATATTAGCTCTTCTGTTTCTTGGCTAGTCTGGAATTGGCAACAAATACCTAAGCATCAGTACTCTTTGACATAGTGTATTCATTTATTTTTATTTTTTAAGCAGTCTGACAAGTTATTTACCGTATCAATTAGCATTGGCCTGAAAAGGAGTTGTTGTGCTACATGTGTTTATGTTCAGCTTTTGAGTTGTCCTGATAGTTTTGGCTTTTATTTGTACAGGTATTTATCTTGAAAGGATCACCACCACCACCACAAAAACCCTACCTCATAGTTTAACATTTTCTTAAAACCATACCTTGTTTGCAACCCCATCATCTCAGTATTAAATTTTTTTCTCCCAATAAGGCAAATGACACTTTAGCCTTAGTTAATGTAAAAACAGGAAGGTGTTAATCTCATTTCCAACATGTCAGCTCTTCCAGGTAGGGTATTAATACGCAAGATCCCCTGCTGGCAGCCTCAACAGAATCTTTCCAGCTGTGAAGTGAAGTCCAAACCTGGTAATTTTTGCTTTCTTTTATTGTGTGTGCTCAGGTCTGCTTCATTCATTGAAAAAGGTATAGCAGTAGCTAAATGCATATAAAGAAACAAACGGATGTTTCCAAACTATTGACTTAACTCTGTACTCAGACACTATGCTAGGTTTGTTTTAAAATATTCACACACTACAAACATTTGGGTATGTTTGATGATAAATAGCAACTAGGTAAGACATATTTGAAATATCTCCTGAGATCTATAATTTTGCATCAGAGAACTCCAGTCCATTGTCACCAATAGCTTTGTTTAATTTGCTTTCTTTAAAACAATAGTCTGGACTAAACAAGGAACAGTAGGGGCTATGTTGTAGGAAGTATTTTGGGATCCTTATCTAACAGAAAAAATTATATTCTTGAAGTAATGTGGGAACCAAACTTTTAATTTTTATTTTTTCTTCACATTGTAGAGATGAAAGGAAAAAAATGTTTTCATAGTACTGAGTTGGTGTGGACAGTGTGAAGGAAATATGTTTCCTACAGAAATTTTTAGGAGTTTGGGGAATTGGTTCTACTTATCCTACTCTATGTGTATAAACACCAAAGGTGTTTTTTTAGGGGCAATTTCAAAAGAGGGCAGTTAGAGCAAAGAGGAAATCAGTAACTATAGTGAATATATAAGAACATTAAAATCAAGTTTTCCTATTTGTAAATGTGATTAATAAGAAAGCTTAATTTTAAAAAATATGATGTAAATATGATTAATAGGTTTTAAAGAAAATTTCACATGGTTCCAATTTAAGAAAGAATTAGAATAGCCATTTTAATTTCACACAGGAATGGAATTATACGTGGCTTTAAAAAGTTATTGATAAATAGACTGTAAATACTGACAAGCTATTAGTTCATTTGAACTAAAAACAGGAGAGAAACAGAAAAAATAAAATGGGATGGCAGCACAGACAAAATAATATTTACAGGGTGGGCAAGTAAGAGGATGTGGCCATAGAAAAGTATGAAAAGACATGGGCCCTGGAGGCATGCAACTAGTCTTATACCTAGTTGAGGAGAGATTTGAGAGGAGAGATAGTGATGACGCCACTGAAGAGGTTAATTTTTGCCCATGTCCTCCCACTTGCTAGCCACATGTTCTTGTTTCATAGTTGAGACAGGTATTATTATGCCCACTATACAGATAAAGAGACACAAATGCAGAGAAGTTGAGGATCCTCTGACAAAGAGTTACATGCCAGCTCCAGCCCTGTGATTCTTTTTTATTTTTAATTTTTATTTTTTAAGTTAGGATGAGAGCTTAAAAACTGCGAAAGGGAGGGAAAAAAGATGAACCAAAAATATGTGAAATTTTTAAAAAGAGTCACTGAGGAATTCTGAGCTGTCAGGTATATTCAGAAAAATAAAGCAGGGAAAAAGTGAGATGATAGGGTTTTTAAAAATTCCTGTTCAAGTTCGTAACAGGCACAGTGCCTCTTTTTATTCATCTCCTGCCTGTACATATTTTCCCACACACCATTCTGTAGTGATAGAATTCATTCCCTTGCCCACTGGGTCAGTATTTTATTACTTTACCGGTTTCTTTTTGTAATAGCTTTTTATACTCCTTGCCAGTGAAAGTATACTCCCAGAAGAAGAAGATGACCAAAGGAAGGAGAACGTGGGCAGGAAAGGCCTGGCAAGCAAGGTCACTGTTAGAGCCACGTCTTGATTGTTCCATTTCCCCAGTGGGCACTATTACACATTTCCCCTTAAGCATGAGGCCATGTTATTTTCTGTGTCTAGCTTTTACCTAGAACATGGATGAGCTCATCAGAAAATATAACAAAATTAAATTCTATCATTGCTCATTGCAACCACGTAGCTGATATTTTATGTATTGCATCTTAAATCTCCTTCTGGAAGTGTAACAATTATAGCCTGTATAATTTGTACCATTGTTGACATTTTTATCTTCTTGAAAAACAATTTAGTACAACTTTAATTGAAGATCTTAAGCCTCACAGGTTAGTGGGCTTGGAGCAGGATGCGGAAATAATGGGAGAAAACCACTCATCAAAGTAGTTAAATGACTTGAACTCGATCACACAATTGGCTGAGTCTGGATTGAGAACCTGGAGTTTTATTTTAGGCTCTGGATCTTACCACATTGCCTTTCAAATTCATTTCAGCTGGACGCGGTGTCTCATGCCTGTAATCTCAGCACTTTTGGAGGCCAAGCTGTGAGGATTACCTGAGGTCAGGAGTTCTAGACCAGCCTGGCCAACATGGTGAAACCCCGTCTCTACTTACAATACAAAAATTAGCTGAGCATGGTGGTAGGTGCCTGTAATCCCATCTACTCAGGAGACTGAGGCAGGAGAATCACCTGAACCTGGGAGGCGGAGGTTGCAGTGAGCCAAGATCACACCACTGCACTCCAGCCTGGGCAAAAGAGTGAGACTCTGTCACAAAAAAAAAAAAAAAAAAAAATTATTTCAGCCAGTGTTTATTGATCACTTGCCATGTGTTAAATGCTATAGAGAATTGCATTAGAATTCTCCACTTGTGAGCTTATTCTTTTATTAGGGTATGTCCAAACAGGTCTAGAAGAAAAATTTTAAAACATCTTTTGCAGGAAGAGAAATTTCTAAGTCAAAACATTCATTCCCCCAAAAAGCAAAACCCTAACATATATTTAAAATTATGCAACAACATAGATGAGGGAAATCTTTAGCTATAAGTAGTGAAAACAATCAACACTACAAAACTATTGGCCTTATTTGTATGTCTGCCAAAATAAGTAAAAACATAGGCAGTGAAAGAAAAACTTGACTACTAAGATACCTTCCTTACTCAAAGCTACCATCTCCAAATATTCTCCGAGTCAACCAACAAATATCAAGTATTCATTTCCTGTCAGGCACTGGATTAGAGATCTGAGAAGGAACAAAACAGATGTAATTCCTACCATATTGAATGAAATAATTTGAATATCTTTTCTACTTTCAAAATATAAGCTAATATACTTTCTGGCCATTCATATTTTAGTAAGAATTACTTTAAATGAATAATCAATTTTCTTGGCTCTCTGTTATGGGAGGATATTAGTTAGTGACAGCTCAGTTTTATTGTTCATGGTGAGGTTGCAGGGCAGAAAACAGAGAAAGAACAATAAAAAAGCGAAAGGTCATTTTAGAACATGAAGAATGTGGGGAGGGTGTCCCAGAATGCAATGCCAACAAATATCGAGTACTCATTTACTGTCCGGAACTAGATTAGAGACCTGAGAATTCCATGGAATGATGCCACCATGAAAAGCTCATGGTTACCTTAGGGGTTTGGGTGTCTAGAGAAAGGTAGGAGAAGAGTGACCAAGGAAACATTGCTTTCTTATTGCATAAGGATCTTGGTGTCAAATTCATTGACTCAGGAATCTGTGAAGTTAGAAACCTTATTAAAGAATTTGGATTTTTTTTCCCCACAAATAGAACTCTTTTTTTTATGGATAGGATTTATTGGTTGGCATTAGGAGATGGCCACACAGTGGAAGACTTCATGAGTACAGAGCTTGTCATTTGTCCAGAGAGTCACAATTGGGGATGTATTTGACTCCACAGTCATCTGGGATGAGCTACTTCTCAGCCACCATGTCTCCAACTTCATTCAAATTGAACTTGATAAAGCACCACTTCTTTGAGATGTGGATCTTCTGGCAGCCAGGAACTTGAACTTGGCACTGTGTAGGGCCTCAATCACATGCTCCTTGTTCTGCTTGGTGCAGATGGACCTGATGACTTGGCCAATATGAACCCAGGCTATGATACTCTGAAACTTTCCAAAGGCAGCTTGCACACCTCTCTACAGCCTACACTGGGACAGCATAAGGTCAGAGACATGAACATACACTGGAAAGGGCTGCCTTCAAGGTCCCTTAGAGGCAACCCATACAAGAAGCAGGCTGCATACACTACCAAGGAATCTGCTGTTTGCAGCCATTGCACACCAAGCCCCCAGGAGGAAAAGAGCTCGGTCAACTCAATTGGCTGCAGACAGATAGGCTTTTTTATTTGCCACTATTAAAATCAAACTTTAAACAGATTCTTGGACTTGTGGCTCATATCCATCAGCTCATTCAACGTTAGCACCTGTCTTGTCCCCAGTAGCTTTTCCAGAACAACTAACTTCATCATGAAACTCTATTAGTTTTCCCAATTCAAACTTGGGTTTCTTCAGCATTTTTACTTTTCTAATGAATACATCATGAAGAGGATAAATAGATTGGCAAGCATTTTCTATGTCTTTTCCAATGTTGTCTGGAATCAATTTATTGAACACTTTTTTGAAGTCGTTTGTCTGCACTTCTGTGTTTATGATTTCCATCATCTCCTTCTGAATTTGACAGACCTGTTGGTGCTGAGCATAAGAGGTCTTCTGTATCTGATTGTTGCATTTTCTATAAAATCAATACAGAACTGACCAAGCAAATAACCATCGGTAGTCTTGACATTGACATGAGCTTCAGTCATGGTCTACCATTTTTTGACCATGGAACACATTTTGTCATGGGTAAGATCCATGCCATGGAAGTTAGTCAGGCAGTTTTTGCCCTGAACATCTTCAGTAATCAGCTAGTTTATTCTAAATGCAACTTCATTATTCTGCAGATCAGCAAGACCCACTTCAAACACATGACCCTTAAGGTCATCAGGTGCAATTCTTGTTCCTTGAATCCTAGTGTCTTTCCAATACTCCTTATACTGACCATAGCAGGTGCTTTCACGTGATACCAGTCTTTCTTAGAAAATGGATCAACCCCTTTCTTCTTGGCTTCCTTTTAGCCACCTTTCATAAAACGCTTATTCTTGCCAGCCACCATGGTGCTGTTCAGAGACCCAAAAGGCAAGAATTTGGATTTTATCAACCTTGAATAAGGTCTGCAAAATATCACTTCTTAGTAATCTTTCATGAGTGATCATTCTAGCCCCAGAAAGATAGAAAGACTGTTATATGTTCCTATATGTACTGGCTCATGATATGGTCTGACATAGGACAGTCTTTCTGTCTGTTCTATATCAGACCATATCATGAGCCAGATAGCTGATATTTTAGGTAGGTTTAGAACAGTTTTTTTAAAAAACATTTTCTACCAAAGCATCCCTAACTGGTAGTACAGGAGAAAGTTTTGAGTGGCAAAACTCCAACAACAGAATTATACCAGTGATGGTAGGGAACAAGAGAACTGTTGAGGGTAAGTCAAGGCAGGAAGTTTGAAATGCCTTTAAAATCTTGTGGTTGTTTTCCTTAAAAATTTAAGCAATTATTATATACTACCCCATAACAGGTTCATGTTTTTTATTGTTTTCATTTTTGTTTTCAGACAGGGTCTCGCTCTGTCGCCCAGGCTGGAGTGCAGTGGTGCCATTAGGAATCACTGCAGCCTCAACCTCCCAGCTCAAGCATCCTCCCACCTCAGCCTCCCAAGTAGCTGGGACTACAGGCACTCACCACCATGCCAGGTTAATTTTTTTTTGTATTTATTGTACAGACAAGGTTTCTCCATGTTGTCCAGGCTGGTCTTGAACTCCTGGCCTTGAGTGATCCATAAACCTCAGCCTCCCCAGGTGCTAGGATTACAGACATGAGCCACTGCACCTGACCTCATGTTTGTCTTACATTTAAGCAATGCCCTTTAAAATACTTGCTAGTATTCAAATTGACTTTCTGGGAAGAGATGCCATGATAATTGTGTGGTCTCAGTCCACCCACACACTTCGGCACATGCACGAGGATGTTTTACAGGGTTTTGTTGGGGAATATACTGAATACACATGTTCAGTTGTCTGAGCAGTCACAGTGCCATGGTTTAGTTGAATTCAGAGTACCTTGAATTGGTTTGTAAGAGTGTGATTGGTCTGTCTCAGATTCCCATTCATTACTGGGACCCCCAAGTTTCCAAGGATTTTTCTATGATCTACATCTGCCTGCCAATGATATGGGCTTGGATGGCCAGGACAAGTAGAAAATATGAGACCCAGCATTCCAGGTCAAAATGATTCTGGGTGAAGCATCCCTGCCAGCCATCCCCCATATGGGCTGTTGTTGGGGTGATCAGACCCAACACCAGGTCGTGGGGGTGAAGAAGTCCAGCAGAATCAAAGGATTGAGAAAAACACAGTTTGAGAGAGAAAGTGGGACCAGGGGGCCATCACAAGTGTGAAGGCTGCAAAGGCCCCAAGCTCTGGGAGCCCACGCTATTTACTGGTGCTCAAACAAACAGGTGGTCAGGACGTGGGGGTTGAAAGGAAACAGTGTATCAAGTGAATGAGAAACATATGGCTGCTTGAGATAACAGGAGTGCTAGAAGCAAGGAACCAGCAAGTCTAGCAGACATGCAAGCCCTGCCTCAGCTTCTCTCCCAACAGTCATCTTTTCTCCCAACAAGCTGTTAATAGAATTTTGCCTTTTAAACATCCCCCTCTACTACCAGACTTGGCCCCAGAGAAGTCCGACTGAGTGTAAGGCACAGAGAGCACAGAGAAGCTGATGCAACTTTGCTATTATCTAGGTTCCTTCATCCCATCAGTATTTATTGAGTGTGTGGCAGGCATCATTTGAGAATGGGGATAAAACAGTGAAGACAGAAAAGGTTACAGTGGTAGGCAGAATCCTGACTCCTGAAGATGTCTGTGCACTATTCTCTCAGAACCTGAGAATAGTTACCTTAAATGGCCAGAGTCTTTAGCTGGCCACAGTGGCACACACTTGTAGTCCCAGTTGAGGTGAAAGGATCACTTGAGTTCAGGAGTTTGAGACAAACCTGGACAACATAGAAAGACCCCTGTCTTTAAAAATAAAAGTAGGCTGGGCGCGGTGGCTCACACCTGTAATCCCAGTATTTTCGGAGGTTGAGGTTGGCGGATCACTCGAGGCCAGGAGTTTGAAACCAGCATGACCAATATGGCAAAACCCCGTCTCTAATAAAAATACTAAAATTAGCCGTGCATGGTGGGGCATGCCTGTAATTCTAGCTACTTGTGAGGCTGAGTCACAAGAATTGCTTGAACCCAGGACAGGGAGCTTGCAGTGAGCCTAGATTGCGCCACTGCACTCCAGCCTGAGCAAAAGAGTGAGACTCTGTCTCAAAAAATAAAATAAAATAAAATAAAATAAAATAAAATAAAATAAAATAAAATAAAATAAAATAAAGGCTTTGCAGATGTGAGGGTATGGACTTTGAGATGGGAAAATTATCGTGGATTAGGTGGGCCTAATCTAATCGTATGAGTCCTTAAAATCTGAACCTTTTTCATGCTGGGAGAAAGACGAGATAAAAGAAAGATAGATTCAAAATGTGAGGCCAGGCTTGGTGGCTCACACCTGTAATCCCAGCACTTTGGGAGGCCAAGGCGTGTGGATCACCCGAGCTCAGGAGTTCATGACCAGCCTGGTCAACATGGTGGAACCCCATCTCTACTAAAAATGCAAAAAGAAGCTGGGTGTGGTGGCGCATGCCTGTAATCCCAGGTACTTGGGAGGCTGAGGCTAGAAGATTGCTTGAACCCAGGAGGTGGAGGTTGCAGTGAGCTGAGATCACGCCACTGCACTCCAGCCTGGGTGACAGAGTGAGACTCTGTCTACATTTAAAAAAAAAAAAAAGGAAAAAGAAAAAAAAATGTGAGGGATTCAATCCACTGTTGCTGGCTTTGAAGTGGAAGGAGCGGCAATAAGACAAGGAACACAGCCTTGACAACATCTTGATTTTGTCCCAGTGAGACCTGTGTCAAATTTCTGATCTCCAGAACTATAAGATGATAGGTTTTGTGTTATTTCAAGGTACTCAATTTGTGGTAACTTCTCACAACAGCCAATAGGAAACTAATAAAGTTCCCATCCTCTTTGTGCTTGTATTCTAGTGAAAATAAAAATAAATATAAATAACAGGGCATTTAAATATTCTAATAAGAGGTAGGAAGGAAATGAATGAAGTGATGTGAATGGGACTATAATGGACTCATCTGTCAACTTTTTAATGCTTTAAGAATGCTCCAATGCACGAATTTTGGTGTTAGGCAAAGATTAGCTCCCCCATAGGAGTTATTTATGTATCTTTTTTCCAGCTAGAGACAGGCATTTTACTTAGGCTCCACTAATAATACAGCCATGCTAGAATTTAAATTAGAGGCTACTGATGCAAAAGGGAAGGATAGTTCAGGTAATTTCTCTTTCTCCCTCCCTCCCTTCCTCTTTCTTTCCCTTCCTCCAGCACTCTTTCCCACTATCTCCTTCTCACTCTCTATCTCCCTCCCTCCTGTAATAGTAGCTGGGGCTACAAGATAATATAGGGCACAAAACAGCCAACTTGCCTTTGGTAGCCAGAATTACTCCTTCATCAGATAAATTCTGCTTCTGCAATATAGCTTTAGATGCTGTTCTGGAAGCTGAGCCCAAGCCTAGCTCTCCAGCCCTCTCAACAATTCTGTAAACCACAAAACATCTTTTTATTACTCTCTTTCTGCTTAACCAACTGAAGTCACCTTTGATCTCTTGCAACTGAAGGTCCTGAAGGAAATAGATAGTCATTAGACTTTGGACACTGTGGTTAAAGAGGTCTCTCTGAGAAGGTGAACTGGGGCAGGAAGAATGTGAAGGAGCAATTAATATGAACAGCTGGGGAAGCAGTCAGGCTGAAGAAATGTAAAGACTACGGTACTGGAGCTGGGGTGCAGAGAAAGCAGGACAAACAACGCCCTTGCCTTTGTGGAGTTTACCTCTGGTAGGGGGTATCTAGACAGTTAAAGGGAGTCAAATGATAGGCAACATAATTTCAGATACGTGTTATAAAGGAAGCAAAAGAGAGAATTGTAGGCTTCAGGCCAGGAACTATTTTGGATAGGATGGGCAGGAAAGGCCTCTCGGAAGGAAGTGACATTACACAGAGACATAGGAGATTTATGACTTGGAGCATGTCCCTCAAATATAATATTGGGACTCTTTGCTCAGGGAGGTGAATTTCCTAAGAGTTCTTCAAACAAAAACATAAACAAATATTGCAGAGTCATCTCTACCAAGGTTAGGAATATTGGGAAAATTCAACAGATGTTTGAAATGCTCCTAGAGACATACATTTTTCAATAGCAGTTGTGATCATCTTTTTGATGATGTTCTCAACTTTGAACTTGCCAAATACAATTATTTTTAGGGAATAATGCCTTACATTATGAACATTTGTTCACATCTACAAATTAGCTTGAATTTTGTCTTGGATACTTTCTATGTGAATAAGTACTAAAAAAAAAATAAGACAGACACAATGTTGGTTCTTCGGCACTTTTGTCAGAGGCTCTTCTAGTTTGACGGACTAGGCTGTCAACATTGGAATGAAGCCAGTGCTAACAGAAAGAAATGTCAGCTTCAGGCAACAGTCTTCCAAAATAATCTGTTTGCAGGTGGAAGTTGCTGGTTTTATGTGAGCACAAAAAATTAATTATCAATGAAAGGGTATTTACTTCTTTCAAAGTCCATATATTTATTGACAATTTTTTTTAAATCTTCCCAGAGAAAAGAACTGTTTTCTAAAATTGATTAATCAACTTACTGACCTGAGTCAAAGCTTTGATGAAAAACAAAATGAATGTACTTTCTTATATAAATCCCAGAAAACATAGGGCAGGTGGGTTTTTGGCTTGTTTTTATCTAAAGCAGTTATCTGAAGTATCTTTTCCTCTGAAAAATCAGAAAATTATTCAAGTAAAACATTAACAGATTTACTGGTAAATATGGCAAATTGAACATATACATCTACTTTTACTTTCTTCTGAAACCCCACATCTTAGATGGTGCAGGGGTGAGGCAGAGGCGCTCCTCACTTCCCAGACAGGGCGGCCAGGCAGAGGTGCTTCTCTCTTCCTAGTCAGTTGGGCGGCCGGGCAGAGGTGCTCCACACTTCCCAGACGGTGGCCTTTGCCCACTTTTTGATGGAGTTGTTTGTTTTTTTCTTGTAAATTAAGTTATTTGTAGATTCTGGATATTAGCCCTTTGTCAGATGGGTAGATTGCAAAAATTTTCTCCCATTCTGTAGGTTGCCTGTTCACTCTGATGATAGTTTCTTTTGCTGTGCAGAAGCTCTTTAGTTTAGTTAGATCCCATTTGTCAAACTTGGCTTTTGTTGCCATTGCTTTTGGTGTTTTAGTCATGAAGTCTTTGCCCATGCCTACGTCCTGAATGGTATTGCCTAGGTTTTCTTCTAGGGTTTTTATGGATTTAGGTCTTATGTTTAAGTCTTTAATCCATCTTGAATTAATTTTTGTATAAAGTGTAAGGAAGGGGTCCAGTTTCAGTTTTCTGCGTAAGGCTAGCCAGTTTTCCAACCTCCAGTGATGATACCTTTGCCATATTCTATTGGTTAGAAGTTCAAACTTCCACTTATACTCAAGGAGAGGAGTTTCTATAAAGGCAGAAATCATGGGGGTAATCTTAGAATTCTGCTATCAGAGGAGGGGAGGGGATCATTAAACAAACAGTACAAGACAACTATTCAGACTTGAAACATATGATTTTCCAGATTGAAATAACTCATTAAAATGCCAGCATACATGATGAAAATAGATCCACACCAGACTTCGAGAAAACTGTTGGCTACAGGAAACTCTGATGAGAGGGTTCATGTCACAAAACAGATTAGAGATGGAAATGACATTATATTTTTAAATAGCAATACTTCAATGTCAAGGGCAATGGAACAATGTGTTTAAAATTATAAAGCAAAAATGATGTCTACCCTTGAATTCTATACTTAGAAAACCTACCTATCTAATTTCAGTATAAATAAAGACATTTTCAGACATGTACGATCTCAATTATTGCCCATGTACCTTTTCTCAGAAGAATGCCTGAGGATTTGCTCCATTAAAAAGATGGGAAAACAAAACCAAAGAATAGTACAAAGTTTTGTCATCCATTAAAAAGATGAGAAAACAAAACCAAAGAATAAACCAAAGGATAATCAGCATAAGAATAAGGCAAAGGGAATCCCAAGATGATGGTAAAGGAGGATCCCAAACTATCATCGTGCAGGGTTGACAAAGCAACACACCCGGAAAGATTTCTTCCATAAGATGAAATTGAGAATAAGAGAAGAAATTGATAGAATATGTACTGCATCTTAATATACTTGAGAGAAAGTTAGACAGTTGACAGAGTTTGGGCTTGCATTAGTGATAAACAAGTCAGGGAAAACCAAGAAAACAAACAATAATATAAAATAATTAATCCAAAAAGTTGTGCAGGAAAGGAAAAGAAATACTTGTTGACTACATGGCACAGCTATTTACTAGATGACATAGGCAGACACGTGGCACATGAATAATATTTACTATGGTCATAATAATGTAAACACTAAATTGGGGTATAAATATACATACAGAATGAAGAAATGGAAAAGTTGTGTATGTGTTGTAGGGACATAGGGAGGGGAAGTAAGCTAGATCTTCAACTTCTATTGCAATAGATCTGTAGATAACACCTAAAGCTGTGAAAAAAAAACCAAGAGGCTATGCAAGCATCCTATTTGGAGACATGAAGGTAAATATCAAAATATCAGTCAAAAATGATAGAAGTGCTTCTGGGGAAGAGAAAATAGAACAGGGAAAGAGAAGGCAGGAACCTCCATTTTTCTATAGCAAGGTTTATAAATGTATTTTACATTTTACATTGTGCATATATAACTCTGTTGCAAAATACAAAAGAAACAAGTCCAAGCAGAAGTGATCAAATAAAGCAATTATTTAGATAACTGCTTCACTTTTTTATGCTAGGTACATTGACTAATTACTCACATAAGTTCACTGTAATGTTCATTTTGTTATGTTTAAAATAAAGTTTACCAAAACTTAAACATCAAATGAATGTTTTCCTTCAGAGCTTTTACCTTAAGAAGTAAGGCACTTAGCTCAAAGTTGTTGCAACTACTCAAAATATTTTTGGAGCTGTCTTTATAATTTCAAAGCCTATGACAAATTTCTTTAAATAGCTTCAGAAGTGTCAATTCATGGATTTAATATTTTATAAGAACCAGAAATCACATGGCAGGAACATGTGATACGCCTGCTCCTGCTTCGCCTCCCTCCATGATTGTAAGCTTCTTTTGGCCTACACAGAAGCCAAGCAGATGCCAGCTCTGTGCTTCCTGTAAAGCCTGCAGAAGCCTCTCTAACTAGTTCCTGTATCTCTTTGACATATGCCCATTGTGGTTTTCTGTTTTTGTTTCTTGAGCACTTCCTTACTTTCTGGAACTACCAGATACTCCACACTTATCTTGTATATTTTCTACCTCAATTCTAGAATCAGCCATCTCCCCAAGGAGCCCTGGTTCCCTTCATTGGAGAATGATATTACAAAACACAATCTGGGTACTAGGTGTGCTAGTTTCTTCTGGGGCTTCCTTGCCTCTAGGCTGTTTGATAAAAGGGAAGGTGAAATGAGGAAATATGTGTGTGTATACTAACTCACGTATATATGCACATACCTCTAATTTTTTTCCTTTATTCATCTGTGTCTATGTTAAGCTAAACATGATTTCATATTGAAATCTCCAACTCTAATTCATTACCATATGGATCATTCTAGCCTGTTACACTTGCTGATTTGTAAGCTCCCACTCCAATGGGTGAGAAACCTGGCTTCCACCATCCATCATTGTCTTAGTCCCATTTTGTGTTACTATAACAAAATACCACCAACTGGGTAATTTACAAACAATGAAAGTTTATTTGCCTCATTGTTCTGGAGGCTGGGAAGTCCAGGATCAAAGGGCCACATCTGGTGAGGGCTTTCTTACTATGTTGTATGATAGAAGTCACCACATGGCCAGGAAGCATGTGTGGGAGAAGGTAAGAGGGGGCCAAACTCACTTTTTTAAGGAACCCACGCCCATGGCAACTAACCCACTCACATGATAACAGGATTAATCCATTTATGAAGACAGAGCTCTCACGATCTAATCACCTCTTGAAGGTCCCATATCTCAACACTGTTGCGTTTGGGGTTAAATTTCCAACACATGAACTTTAGGGGACATATTCAAACCATAGCGATCATCCATTTACTTAACTTTTCAATTCCAGTATACATGTATGCTGTGTATATGTATTCATACCCCCATGGGAAAATTTACTTGATCAACTATAATAAGGTGCTTATGTACAGTTGCTTTTGCCATTAGTCTTACAGATTCCACTCATTTTCAAATTCCTTAGGTCAGCAACTGATTCTTCAACTACGTTTAGTGAGATTATTTCATATAATTGCAGTACAATTAGATTCTTATGTCACTGTTGCATTTCATTCTGGGATCCTCCAATCTCTGAAATATCTTTAAATTTGCATATATTGTTTTATTCTTTTTGCCATAACATTAGTTTTATGGGTTTTAACAAAGGCATGGCATTATGTAGCCACCATTATAGTAACATATAAAAGAAGCTCACCACTTTAAAACATTCCCCTGTGCTTCTCCTAATCAACATCCCAAACCATTACCACCCAAAGCCCTTGGCAACAACTAATCTTTTTTTAATGTCTCTATAGTTTTGCCTTTTCTAGAATGTTATATAAATGGAATCATAGCTTTCTAGAATGATCTCTTTCACTTTGCAATATGCATTTAAGATTCTTCCTTGTCTTTACATAGCTTAATGGTTTATTCCTTTTTATTACTAAATAGTTTTCCATTGTATGGATGTACAACAGTTTGTTTATCCACTTATCTTTTAAAGGACATCTTGATTGCTTCCAATTTTTTGGAATTATGAATAAACATTCATATACAAGTGTTTGTGTGGACATAAGTTTTCAAATCAGTTGAAATACCTAGGAGCATGGTTGCTGGATTATATGGTAAGACTATGCTAACTTTATAAGAAACTATTAAACTGTTTTCCAAAGTAGCTATGCCATTTTGCATCCCATCAGCAATGAATGAGAGTTCCTGTTGTTTGGTATCCTTGCCAGCAATTGGTATTGACAGTTTTTTGGATTTTAGCCATTTTAATAGATGTATAGTGGTATCTCATTGCTATTTTAATTTCTATTTCTCTAATGATAAATGATGTTGAACATCTTTTTAAATGCTTATTTGCCATCTATATATCTTCTTAGGCATATTTCTTTTTATATTTTTATATATATATTATATAATAGATATAGATATATATATCTATATATATCTACATATATAGATATAATATGCCTATATATCTTCTTAGGCATATTTCACCCTAAGTTTTTCCTTAAGGGTGAAATGTGGTCGGCTGGATTTCACACTTTTTAATTGGTCATATTCTTGTCCTAATTTATCCTGATTGGTGTTTTAATAACTCTCCAAATCTCTGCCTCACTTTTAGACTCAGTATCTTGGAACTTCCAAGGGCCTAATCTCTTTCTTTAACTGTAAATTTTTATTAGTTTAAAGCTCAGAAGGATTCCAAATTCTTAATGTGAGGAAGAAGGACATGACTTCATTGTTGCTTCATTAAGTTCTATACTAAGTATTTTTTCTCTTTAAAAAAAATCATCGTATTTAACTGTAGCCATACCTCAAATATTTTCAAACTGCTTAACCTACTTCATAGGTTTGTTTTTATTATCCCAATATTTTCCTTTAAGCTTTTGTTTAGTGTAGTGGTTCCCCAACTTTCGTGTATATCAGAATCTCAGAGAGCCAGAAAAGAACACTGACCTGGGCTCATTAAATTAGGATGGGGCATGGACTTTTGTATTTTTATCAAGATCCCCAGGTGTTTTTGATATCAACCAAAGTTTGAGAACCACTGGTTTGGTGTTTGGAGAAAAGTGAAAGTGAGGCAGTCCTCTCCAGCTGAGGGCCAATCTAACCCTGAATAGAGAACTCAGCCTGTCTAGACACCAATAATAGCTTCAGAAGCCAGTGCTGTTATCTCACTAAGTTCTCAACCTAATACTTTACTGAGGTTTGTGCACAAGATTTTTGTCTAGAGTTGAAATTGAACATCAGTAGAATATTTTTACAGAACAAGATACTATAAAAAACTGGGTTTATTCTGCAGAGTTCACCAAAGAAACATTTTAAGTCATCTGGACACATCGTACTAGGTTAAATTAAAACTGTTAAAAGATGTGCCTCCAGAATTTGCATTTTAAGAACTACAGGGCAACATACAGGGCAGACAATCCATACTTCTTTTCATATTACTGGTTCACTACTCTTCTATGCAATAAAAATTAAATGGCATTTTTTTTACAACAAAGCATTAAGCTAAATTGAGAATACCAGATTCAACAACACAGCATGTTTTATAACTAGAAAGCAACTATTTCTCAGATATTTTTTCTTTAAAAACTCAGTCTTCATGTGCTTTGTGTCCTAAGCTATGGCTAATATTCAGTATAACCTAAGAGGGAACAGTTCCATTCCAAAGAAAAACTTCATCTCATCAAAACATTATTTGCATATTCATAAGATTTCACCTTCAGGCAGAGACATGAGCTCTTTTTCTTGCAAGCTATTACATCAATAGAAATATACAAATAAGCATCAAGAAAAATGCGAATAAGGATATTAAATGAAAAAATGTTCACTCACCAGTGCACAGTTTAATATTAGGTAAAGAGTATGCTTGCTTGATCACAAGTAAATTTTAAAGATAAATAATTGCACTCATTGTTCATATAAATATTTAGCTGCCATTATTACTAATAATTGCTAATACTGATGAGTGTACTTCTAAGAAATTGTTTGAATTTGCTAGAAAATATGCTGACATGACTTTCTTGGAAAAATATCTAAATTTTACTGGAGGGGCTATTTTTTAAATCAAAATGACACACCAAGGCATGGATGAAAGCACTTTGCTTTTTCAAAAATCTCTCCAAACTCAATTGTAATCCAGAAATGAGTATTTTCCCATGAAAATACAAAATATCAAATGCTTGAGCATCTCTTGCCAGAAACTGGATTATGCTCTTCATTTTACCAGTAGCTAATGATCACTCTTATGAGTTACTATATTTCCTCAAATTTTTGCTGTGAGGGTAACTTTGAAATCACTATCAGGCAAACATAAATGCTTTCGTTTTTTTTAAGAAACTTAAAACTCTTCCTCTTAATCTCATTTTCAGCATATTTGGATGTGTCTAAACTGTGTCTTTAGTTTGTCCATATCAGATCATTTCAGTCTTTCCTCCAAGTTAAAAGGGATCTTATTTATTTCATTTAATACTAATCCTAGAAAGCAAGAAATACACGAAAACCACAGATCCTTAATGGCTTTGATTTATTAATCACTGTCAAATACTTCTGTTTGACCATCACTGAAGCACTAACTGTAACAGTGTTGCATAAGCAAAGCATTTTGAACAGCAGTGGGACACAAATCCTATTAGTGAGGGAGACCCTTCCTAAATAACTTTTTATCAATACTTAGAATTATTAATTTACTGATTAGAAACAAAAGATGTCCCCCATAGTTAAACAAAAAAGTTGACTTCCTTAAACATAATCATGCTATTCCAGTTTAACAACTCTAAAAAGTAGTCTGAGGTGAGGTGATCACAGTTGCCATGAACTAAGCCTGCCTAAAGTTTTAGCTGGCTTAAGAAACCAAAGACAGCCTGCTGCAGTTTGCAAAAATGCTGATTTATGAGGCTCAGGTCATTATTTATTGGTGTCTAGACTTAGAACTTCTTTAACCTTACACTTTAACCTTGGGGGCCCCAAACCAGTTTCAGGGTCAGCAAAGTCCTTTGGTTGTATTTTTGTGAGAATTGAGGATCAGTAGGTGGAGAAGCCATGCTCTAGCCTTGGAATACATTAGAGAGTGGGTTGAGAGCACTTCTGCACAGCTTTTGAAGGTGGTTGCCTTCAGGTTGTTAGCTCACACCCCAGCCTCAGAGCACATCTTATGACTTTATTCTTTATATGGTTTTCTTCTGAAGCAGTGGAGTGGTTTTAAAATTCCATTTCTGACCCACAAGACCCTCAGTGATCCTGTTCTTGCACCCCACATAAGCTACTTTCCTTCATTCATGCACTGCAGGTACAAGTCTATTGTTCACATCTATTAACTAGACATATTGAAAAGGCCTTTACATTTTCTTCAGTGCAAATCTAGAACACTTTTCTCAATTTTAAGTTCTAATAATCATGCTAAGACTTTGATACATGCAGGCCACAAGTGAGAAAATAGACTACATTTAACTTAATTAAATCCTTCTTGTCATTCTGAAACACCGATTTTTAAGGAATTGAAATGTACCTGAACTGTAAATATTTTTTAAATAAGTCACTCAAATATATGTGAAGAAGAAAATATCCAAACCTCTCATATGTATTTCAAAAGAAATTACATCCTCTAATGAGAGTTATTGTTGAAACTGAATTAGTGTTTAGTAGTTAAACCAAGTCATAATACACTGCAGGTCTTTCCTGAATGTCCTACATTTCTCAGCAAGAATCCACTTTTTGCTCAACAACTTTATTCTTAATTCACAAAAGAAAAATAGTTTCACCACTGATAAGTAAATTAAAAGTCAGTGTTAGAGGAATAGTAATCATTTTATAAATGAAATAGAGAGAGTAATTTTCATACTTGGATGTCAAAAGAGAAATCCCAAGTCTGCCATTTGCTTGCCTAAAATGCATGACATGACTTTATGAATATTCATATATGACCTTATTACAATACTAGAAACTGGGTTTATTACCCACTAGATTTGAAAAAACAACAACTTGTTTGGGATCACATAAGAGGGTTTTTGGTGTTTTGGTGCCCAAAGAAGAATGATTTATTGAAGAAAGAAGATGATTTCTGAAAAAAATTTAAATGTATGTTTACATTTGTGTGTGTGTGTATGTGTGTGTGTGTATGAATGCACATATGTAATTATCTGTTACAAAAAAATTCTGCTGACATTGATTACTATCCTCACATGCAGATGTGGCTGAAAAGACTATTTCATAACAAATAACACATGTAGAAGTATAGATGAATGAAGTTTGGTTTGGGGCTACAGGTCTGTTGTAGATCCCGCTGAGGTCTTCCCCTCCTAGACCCTGTCTAGACACTAAGAACAGCGAGTCTTGACCACCAACACTAACATCCATGCATCATCTCTAGGGTGGACAGACTGTCAGAGATCCAGATATATTCTTCATTGTAATTAATCTGCTGTATAGACAAACTGAGCTAATTAGTTTGGTCAAAAGTTTTGGTCCAAACTGTTCTTAGAATGTTCTCTGACATTATACATGATGAAGCTATTTGTAATTTGTAAATTAAAGAACTAGATGACTAAATCAGTTAATTTTGCCAGGAATAAAAGAATTTCAGAGCATTAGTCACTGAAAATATATTCCTAGGCTTCCTGGGAGACAGTAGAGCAGGGAAGAATGTATGGGATTTGATTTGACTAATCTAACATGGTTAGCCATTACCTGCCACGTTCCAACTTAAGCAAATACGCAAACCAATGAAAAACCTTTATGCTGTGAATGAAGAAGGAAGAGCTGAGCCAGAAAATGATGAGATATCTGAAAAGTTCTTTGGAAACACATCTTCTACTTAGGACCCTTTATTGATGTACTGTGTTTAATTTCTGAAATTGTCTAATTCCAAACGGGAAACAAAATATATGGGTATGTTTTACACAATTTTACTCTCTAATCTTTAAAGATGTTATTTAATTGGTTTTTTTTTAATAATAATGTAATAAGCATCTGCAAAAGCACCACACAAGACAAAAGTCAGGACCACGGCGGAAACCTGTAACTAACCTTGTGGTTCGTATCAACTGGAAAGAGCCATCATTCAGCATCCTATTTCATAATTCCAGTGCTTTTCTTTTTATGTAGTCTTCGGGAATTTATAAACAGTAGTTGAAGAATTGTGTTTTTAACTTTATATAAAGAGCATCATGCTATATGTACTCCCCTCTATTTTTCACACCAAATTGTGTTAGGCAATGAGCTCTCTTGCGCCTTTTTGTGAAGTTAAGTGGTGTAAGGAATGTTCAAAATATCGTTGCGTCTTGGGACTTCGGTTGTACTACCATGGTTCCTTCAGATGCCATGATCTTTTCCAGCACAGTCAACAATTGTGAGTAAATACACATATGACAGCACACACAGTCACAGACATAGACAATTAGGGAAGAAATTTGCACATGGGTTGCAGCTTGCCTAGTCGGTTTACAGATTTTTGATTGGAGCAGTTGATCTGGATGTCTATCAATAACAATGCCTGATAGGAACATTCAAGAGGATGACAAAACTACGCAGTTACCTTTAATATGATTATATATCATTTAGAATGCTTTATATTGCAAGCACTGAAAATCCAATTGAAACTAGCTTAAACAATAAAGAGGATTTACTGGTTCAACAGATTGTTAAGTAGTACAGTATAAGCTTCAGGACAAATTTGATTCAATGACTTAAAGACATCAAAATAAAATTGATTTATTTTGTTTTTTCTTGTTTTGTTGGTCTCTCTTCTCTGCCTTGTACATCATCATCTTCATTCTAAAATTGGTTTCTCTTGTCCTGGTAAAAAGACTGTAGAGAGGTCTAGCCTAGGCAATGAAGCAAGACTGTGTCTCTAGAAAATTAAATTAAATTAAAATAAAGGGAAAAAAAGAAAGAGAGGACTAGCTTTTGAAAGATACCACAGAAAATGGAGGAATCTGCTTTCCTAGAAGCCCCCAGAAAAGTTAATCTCATGCTGCACTAGTTTGAATTAGTAAAAAGTCTCTATAATACTTGACTTCCTCCAATATGCTCTTCAAAACGCTGTTATTAATTACTTATTATCCCTAAATAGCTTCACTGATTTACGTAACTCTGGAATTTGTTGTCTCTAAAAAGTGTACCCAATGATGTATCAATATTGGTCCATTGGTAGTAATAAGGGTACTACACCAATGCAAGATGTTAATAAGAGGAAAACAGTTTGGGGGTGGGGAGAGCATGGGGGAAGGAGTGTAATTCGTTTACAATCTTTCTGTAAACTTCATATAGCTCTAAAAATAGTCTATTTTTTCTTCTTTTTCTTTCTTTTTTTTTTTTTTAAATAAAGCAATCCTCTGGCCAGCTACCTTCTTTTTCTGCACACAATGACATTCCAAAATTGTCTTTCCACTGTGTCCTTTGACATTGTTACCAGAAAAGGGGGTATTGATCCAGACCCCAAGAGAGGGTTCTTGGATCTCACACAGAAAGGAATTCAAGGAGTCCCAGAGTTTAGCGGGAAGAGATAGTTTATTGAGAGCTAGTCTGTTACAGAGGAGGACATCTTTAGAAAAGCAAGGGGAGGAATGCACTGCCTTTGTTTTAAGTTGTTCTTATATAAAAAAGAAAAATGTAAAGACTAAACTAAGCTGTGCCTACGTGCGGGTGGGCTGACAGCATGACAAAATTTATTATTCTATTGATTTAAAGAAAACTATCCTTGACATTTTAGTGTGTAAGGACATCAAAGCATAACTATAATTATCTTGAAAGCATATATTGTCATGGGTATTGGAACATCTGGACTTTCTGTTGTAGGAGCTTGTCCTTGCAAGCATTACTAAGCTGCTTCCTTAGCTATAAACATCTTAGGACCATGGGTTGTAACTGGCAAGGAATGTGCCTTGCTAGTTTTAAGATGGGGTTTTACTTAAAATGGCATTACTTCAGCTTTCCTAAGCTCCTGCTTCCCTAACGACATGCATCTCCAAATTTATTCCTAGATGATTCCTCCACCCATCTTTGGACAGAAACATGAATATCATGACACTTCCTAGGCAGCAACATCAAATATCTTCCCAAGATATGCCAATACAGGGAAAAATATGTTATTCCTTCAATCCCGCCATCAATAATATCCAAATTTACTTTTAAGTGAAACTGGACAAATATACAATCTAATAAGGAATGTGTTCAAGTTTTATCGCCTCTTACATCTTCTGAATATAATGATTGGTCAAAAATTAAAGACTTTTGGAAAAAATGAAGAATATATTCAAAATGTTTATAAATAATTCTTTGATTGTTATTTTTCCTTTGTTTTCTCTTTGCATACTCAAAAGAATGTGACATTTATATTTATTTTTAGTTGTACTTTTTGATTAAGTAGCAGAATATCAATATCCTGGGGTATAAATAGCTCTAGCTGAGAGCAAACAAAGGCTTCTGGGTGCCGTGTAGTACAGAGCCAACACAGTTATCATACATTTCACTTCTAACAAAAGACATCAGGGTTAACAAAATTGTTTAATTTGCTTAGGCAGGATGAACCTTGTGCCTCTGCAAATTATTTCATGAGCTTTATGTTGAATAATGCTCTGGAGAGATACTTTTTTCTCCATTTATACCTGAGTAGGAGTTAGCGTCTAGTTTATTTCAAGTACATAATATATGTGAAAAAGCGCTTGCAAATTAGAGGAATTATTGTAACACAAGTCTGCCTTAAGACATACAGGCTCTCAAGTTAAACAGGAATTACATTCTTTAGCTAACAGATTTATGGAATGTAATGAAATTTTGCTACCGGGTAGTAAGAATAGACTGTAGTCTTTTTCAATGGAGAATCAGATAAAGTAAGTTGGAGACAGTGTCGAGAAAGAACAATGGAGTCGGTGTTAGAAGCTCCATGTGACCTTGAGCTGCTTGACTTCTCTGAACTTTAGTTTCTTTATCTGTAAGGTAGTAATTCTAGGACCTATTATTATTAGGATCAAATTATATAACAGATATGAATGTTTTATGCCTTTCAAAGAGCTAACTATATTAATTTACCATGTTATTATAAAAGAGGTAAGGGGACTATCCTAAGGCACATGAAATAGGGTGAGAGGAATATTCTGTGATATACAGGGTAAGCTGTATTAATGAAGAAAGTCTTTGCTAAAAGTCTCTATAAACCCAGATAAGTGTTCTGAGAACTAAGGGAAAGTGTGTAAAGCAGAGCTTCTCAACCACAGTACCCATGAGAAGCACCCAAATCTGGCAAAAAAAACAAAAACAAAAACAAAAAAAACTCCAGGATCTCACCTAGCATGTGTATTTAAAATAACAAATGAAGTGAACAAATGATTTTGAGGGACACACTCATTTAAGAATTACTGGTCTAGTCCAGGAATAAGCAAATTTTTTCTGAAAGAAGCAGCTGGTAAATATCTTCTCTTCTGCAGGCCACATAAGGTGTCTGTCTTACCTTCTTTGTTTTTTTAAAAAGCCCTTAAAAATGCAATGAACATTCTTAGCTCCCCAGCTGTGCAAAAACAAGCCACAGTGGAATCTGACTTTAGATAATGAAAGGGCTCACATCATGGTTTTTAATTTAGTGCATAATACATACACAATATATTACAACTATGTGGATGCTTCTCTTTTTCATTTTTGTGAAATATTTGAATATAGAGTCTCGACTTACTCATTTTTATATTCCTGAAACCTAGCATATTTCCTGGCACATCACAGTTACTCAATAACTATTGGATAGATGGATGGAAGAGAGAAAGTCTATTAAGAAAGTTTAATCTTAGCAGCTATAACATTTGCAAAATCTATTCAATGGTAAGAGAGATGACGGTTTCCCAGTTAATTTCATTATTGTAAACAGTAAAAAAAAAAAAACAAAAAAAAACCTACTGGTTTAATATTAATACTTGTTGACATTAACTATGTCAAACAGATATTGACAAAAATCTATTTTACTTGTTTTGAAAAAACATAGTCTTGATTTTGTGGTACTTTAAGGAAGATGGAAGCTCATATCTTGGATGCAATATTTAGAAAAATTTCTCTAAAAATTGTGTCTGAGGATGAGAATGGCAGTATTGAGAAAACTATCAAATTGTATGTAAAGAAGAAATTTGTCAGGGAGATATTTGATCTCTACCAGTTATGTACTTAAAGCTCTGGATTAGTGCTGAGTATACTTTGTTAATTCTTTAAATGTGACTGGTTATAAGAATGCGTTCCCTAATTTAAAGCTATTGATAGTAACAATATGAACATGATTGTGAAGTATGACATCACAGTGCAGTCATAGTCCTCTAATTGTCTTAAAATATGTCTGCTTCATGTGGTCTCGCTTCTTGGCCTTTTGGATATCAAGATCTGATATCTTGTCACAGATCAAACTGAGTGCCCAATTTCTTGATCTGATTACTGCTTTCACTGCTTTCTCAACTGAAGTAAGCCTCTTCAGTAGTTTTATGGCTCACTTTTTGCCTAGGTTTCCCTTTACGACAGCTTAACTCCATCTCACAGGACAACACTGAGCTGGGTGTTTGACTACCGCTCCTTGATTCAAGTGAACGTTTCTTTCTAAATTGCTGCATTAGCCTGCTAACAGTCTCCTACTTCTGAGATCAACTGCACCAATTCCTCATGTTTCTCGATTTTGCCCTGTTTATCCTACCTCATGGATATTTGTCCTATCCCGTGGCTGTTTATCTTATCCCTGATTTGCTTAATAGCATTTTAGATATTGACAATATGGAACTTTCCCTATCTCTGAGCTATTGGGAAATAGCTACAACAGATAATTAATACTCCCTCACCCCCTGAGCATACTTTTGTGTTCCAGGACAAGGCTTACTGCAAAGAAACAGCCTAACATGCTCATCATCACTGGCCATCAGAGAAATGCAAATCAAAACCACAATGAGGGATCTAGAACTAGAAATACCATTTGACCCAGCCATCCTATTACTGGGTATATACTCAAAGGATTATAAACCATGCTGCTATAAAGACACATGCACACGTATGTTTACTGCGGCACTATTCACAATAGCAAAGACTTGGAACCAACCCAAATGTCCATCAATGATAGACTGGATTAAGAAAATGTGGCACATATACACCATGGAATACTATGCAGCCATAAAAGAGGATGAGTTCATGTCCTTTGTAGGGACACGGATGAAGCTGGAAACCAGCATTCTCAGCAAACTATCAAAAAGACAAAAAACCAAACACCGCATGTTCTCACTCATAGGTGAGAATTGAACAATGAGAACACTTGGACACAGGAAGGAGAACATCACACACCAGGGCCTGTTGTGGGGTGGGGGGAGCGGGGAGGGATAGCATTAGGAGATATACCTAATGTAAATGACGAGTTAATGGGTGCAGCACACCAACATGGCACATGTATACATATGTAACAAACCTGCACGTTGTGTATATGTACCCTAGAACTTGAAGTATAAAAAAAAAACAACTCACTGAGGTCCTTCTTGTTTACCTATGACAAGACCTGCCACAGACCCTCCAATTCTCATTTTTTGCCTCATAATAATTACCTAAGCTGTCTACATTGACCAATCTGGACAAAATACTGAACTTGACCAAAATGTCAGGCTTCTCTCCCACCCCCAAACTCCTGAACTTTGCCCCATTTTTGAGTATTGGAACACAGAACAGTCCCTCCTGAGCAGCCTTTCCAGATAATCAGCAGATATAAGAAAAGACATTTCCCGATCAACTGTCTGATTATGCCACCTGCTCATCCCACTCCCCCATACCTGATTCCTTCTAGCCTTTTTCTACCTTCCTGTAAAAGAAAAATTCCTTTCTGCATGACCTTTTAAGTGTTTGCAGATCTTACAGTCAAAGCACTCTCCCTATTGCAATAGTCCCCTTTCCCATATTGCAATAACTCTTTTGAATAAAATCTCTTCTTATCTAAGCAGATTTGTGTTTCTTTCACAATATCATTACTCCAGCAAGTCTTGGGTTAGATAACTCTTCTAGGAGTATCTATTGCGTTAGATACTCCTCTGAGGGATTTCATAATGTCATGTGATTATCCCAATCAGAGGACTGAGAGGGCTGATCACATTGGGGAACAGGGTTGTGTTCCTGCCTGAATTCCTCATTAGAATGTGAACTTCTGAGGGCAGGCTCTGGGCTCTCTTTACCTCATAACCCTGATCCCTCATAGAGTTCTGAGACAATTGAGAGTCTAATTAAGGGTAACTATTTAATTTTTTAATTAAATTAAGAGCCAACCTTTTCCCCTGTGAAGATGGACAACTGGCCTGAGAAACCGTTTCTGACTTCTGTGAGTAAATGGACTAGGGGTGAGGAAGGGGACATCACATGGGGATTATTTCTTTCCTTCTGCATAGGAATGACATTTGAGCACAGAAGGGGCAATTTTGATTAGACAAAGGTCTGGCAGCAAGCACTGCCACCCTTCACTGTCCCTTATCAAACTATGTAGGAAAGCAATTTTGATTATTGTTGTAGAGGCCATCAGTTCTAGAAAAATATCCCAGAAGAAAATGGGATTTTTTATTCCTTCTGGCTCAAAATAGTGGCTTATACACTTCTGGAGATGGAAGGAATACCAGCTTCAATTTATCAAACACATAAAATGTTAACTGTGTCATTTTATTGAACCTTTATGACATACATCACCAAAATATGATTTATACTACATCAGGAATTCTGCTTCCACACTCTCTACTCCAGCCAAGGGATCCAGTCTCACCTCAAGGACTCCAGCTGAAAGCCTCAGTGTAGGTAATACAGGAGACTGGTTTCTATGTTCAGAAATAGTTTCTGACCTGAGTCAAAATGTCTTTAGAATAGTAACTTTTTTTTTCCCCTCAGGAGTGTTCTAATCTTATTATTCAGATTCTTGCCTAAATTCTTGACTCACTGTTAATTTCCTTATCTAGTTAGATCTCCAACTTTCTTATACTCAAAACTTTTGCCTAGGAACTATCTCTGCCCAATCTAATTTGGTGTTTTGTGGCATCTTGGTCTATCTCACTTCTCTGTCTGGGCCCTTGGACACAATCCATCAATGTCTAATCCACCCAAGCACCTCTAATCCATAGCTACTCTTGAGCCTGATAATGGTTTGCATCCAGCTCATACTGACATCCCATTGGCTGCTCTGCTTCTCCCTGGGTACATGCCCCACCATGCTCACTACGACTCTTTGTTGGCTACTTGTCTTACACTTTTGCATGCTGCTGTCCACAGTTCTAGGAGTATACCATGTAGTTCAGAAATAAAGCATCTGAAAAACTCCAACATATTTTCATTAGTTTTAATGAAAGTAATACATTTACATAATTTAAAAGTCAATGGAGAGTACAGTCAGGAAAAGGTGGGTGTGGGTGTAGGAGACAGTAACTTTACAGTGCAGAAATCTGTCAAACACTACCACAGACAGATTATCAAGTCCAGTATTAACAGTGATAAGCCATGTTGACAGTATGTACCCTTGATATAATATAATGAAAATGACACTTTACCTCTAAGGTCTTCCTCTCAGAAACCTATAACCCCAACATAATCATGAGAAAAACATCAGACAAACTCCAATAGAGAGCCATCTTACAAAATACCTGACGAGTATTTCTTACAACAATAATGTTAAGATTATTAAAAACAAAAATGTCTGGGCAGCTGTCCCAGCCATGAGGAGCCTAAAGAGACAAGACAAATAAATATAATGTGGTGTCTTGGATAGGATTCTATAACACAAAAGGAACATTGGGTAAAAACTGAAAATTTCAGCCAGCTGCAATGGCTCACGCCTGTAATTCCAGCATTTTGGGATGCCAAAGCAGGCGGATTACTTGAGGTCAGGAGTTTAAGATTAGCCAGGTCAACATGGCAAAACCCCATCTCTACTAAAAATACAAAAATTAGCCAGAGGTGGTGGCATGTCCTGTAAGTCCAGCTACTCGGGAGGCTGAGACATGAGAATCACTTGAACCTAGGAGGTGGAGGCTGCAGTGAGCTGAGATTGAGCCACTGCACTCCAGCCTAGGTGATGGAGTGAGACTCTGTCAAAAAAAAATAATAATAACCTTTAAAAATTTGAATGAAGTATGGACTCTGGTTGATAATAACTTACTAATGTTTGTTCATTAATTGTAAGGAATGTATCATTCCTGAAGTAAGATGTCAATAGTAAGGGAAATTGTTACGGGCTATATGGAAACTTTGTATTATCTTCTCAAGTTTCCTGTGAATTTAAACTGTTCTAAAAAATAGTATTTTTAAGAAAGAAAAATGGTATAAATAAATTAGATGACTGGGAAAAAAATCAGTCTAACTATAATACTTAAAATGAAAAGCAGCAGGTCCATGATTACCATAAGTCCTTTGTCCTAGTGGCAACTATTTTCAATTCATTGAATTGTTTCTTATGGCTTTAATGTATATTTCTAAATAATATGCTTTTGTGGCAGTTTTTTTCATTTATTCATACTAGACATTATCCATTGACTTCCTGTGACGGCAGATGAGGACTTAGCTCTCTTCCATCAGGTCCCTTCTGCTCATTGCCCATTACATTTTCACAACTTTTGGTTAATCCACATTCAGTGTTCAATTTACTGTAATTATGTAATCTTATGTACTGTTAAGCTACATTGTGTTCTGATTACTTTTCCTTTATGAACACCATTTGCTTTTACCGAAATTAATAACTGCTTCTTTTCAACATTTGTTTGGTTCTCTATGTACATATAGCTAATTCTTCCCAAACATTCTAAAAGCTACATGGTTAAACCCTCTGGACTTTATTTTTCAAAATAACAGACATCAGAAAATTTATCCATTTCATTTTGTTCTGGCCCTTTTTCATGCAAGCCTTCGCTCTCTCTATCTCTCTCTCTCTCTCTCCTCTAGATTATGCCTTAGGTATCATTCCAAAACTTTGTCACCCTTCTGATGAATCCTATGTTTTTTTGGATTAGATTTCCTCTTTCTCAGCATACTTTCTCATTTAGATGTAGGACATTCTTTAGTATCTTTTTTTACTCCTTTCCATCTTTTTTTAAAAAACCCATATTTTATTTTTATCAACATTATTCATGTACTCAGTTGAAAAGAAAAATCATTTTATAGGTATGTGCAGAAAAATCACAATATCCTTGTTTGGGGTCCCTAGAAAACTGGGTTCAAAGCAGAAGTTTATGTTTTACATATATTTTTTATGGTGCAATCCCAGGAACACAGTAGTGAGGGAAAAATAAAGTAAGAAAGGAAAAGAAGGGGAAGAAATAACAGGGTATGCATTAATTAGCTAGTCTCAGCTTTTCAGTAAGTGTAGCAGATTGGTCTTGTGAGATGTCTTCAACAAGGTCATTTAAAATAGAGAAAAAATTATCTAACAGTTCATGTCTCCCTTTTGTTGAAGTCTGCTCCACTAAATATCAACTTCCCAATGTTTCCAGACTGTCTAACATATCCAGGCAGGTGCTGAGGAAGCCTTAGTCCAGGAATGCAGTGGTGACATCTGAGGTTTAAGCCACAGTGCACACAGACAGTGAGTGGGTCTATGTTAATGGCAACCTCTACCTGTTCACCAGCAAACTGCATCCATGTGAGCCCTGCCAAAGAGTAACTTCTGAGGGAGCATGGGTGCTAAATAGATCCAGTGGCCTTTTGTACTTCATTGGTTACAGAGATGAGTTGAGGGGAAGGAGAAGAGAGGCTCCTTTCCTAAGACATGAGTCAAGGAACTTTTAGGTTGCTCCTATGAGCAACATAAGGAACCAGGAGGAGATACTGCATCAGCCCTGACCAGCACAGAAGGCAGAATGCCATAATGACACAATCCTTGCCATGGAGTTCAACAAACCTTCCACCCACCATGGTAAAAATCTTTTCTCTGTGGCCTGTGAGAATGCAATTCATGTCAGGTGATCTAACTGAAGAGTCATCAGAAGCATTAAGCAGATTGCTGGTTGTGATGGTTAATATTATGTGTCACTTGGACTGGACTAAGGGATGCCCAGATAGCTGGTAAAACATTATTTCTGGGTGTCTCTATGAGGATGTTTCTGGAAGAGATTAGCATTTAAATCCATAGACTGAGTAAAGAAGATTGCTCTCACCAATGTGGTTGGGCATCACCCAATCAATTGAGGCCTGAATTGAACAAAAAGGCAGAGGATGGATGAATTTTATCTCTCTGCTTGAGCTGACACCATCTTTTTCTGCCCTGGTTCTCAGACCTTCAGACTTGAATCTAGACTTACACCATCTCCATCCTCCTTCCTGTACCCCCTAGTTTTCAGGCCTTCAGAGTTAAACTGGGTTGTACAGTGTTGACTCCTCTGATTCTCAGGGCTTTGGGTTCAGATTGGGACGCGATTACTGACTTTCCTGTGCCTCCAAACTATAAATGCCAAGGGTTTTAAGGGCTCAGGCCTTTGTCCCTGGCTTTGGGCCTGAGCTCTTAAAACTCTTGGAATTTCCTGAGTGATAGAAATGCCTTTTATCATTAATGAGGCCCTTTTTAACACATGTGAGTTTATGCTATGAGGTGGGGCACCTAGAGAGTCTCAGGATAGAGCTGGTCACCAGAAAGACCAAGTGATTTCAGAGTTGGAGTTCCTAGAAGATAACATAGGAGGAAAGCTAGATGACCTTGGTTTAGTGATGACTTTTTAAATACAAAATCAAAGGCATGGTTCATGAAAGAAAGAATTGATAAGCTGGGTTTTATTAAAATTAAACATCCTTGCTCTGCAACAGACACTGTCAAGAGAGTGAAAAGATAAGCTATAGACTGAAAGAAAATATTTGCAAAGGACAGTCTGATGAAGGATTGTTATCTGAAATACACAAACAACTCTTAAAACTCAACAATAAGAGAATAAAAAAATCTGATTAAAAAATGGACCAAAGATCTTAACAGTCATTTTCCTGAAGGAGATATACAGATAGCAGATAAGCATATGAAAAGGTGCTCCATGTCATATGTCAGGAAGGATGTGCAAATTAAAACAATGAGATACCACTACACATCTATAAGAATGGCCAGAATCCAGAAGAATGACAATGCCAAATGCTGGTGAGGATGTGAAGCAACAAGAAGTCTCATTCATAGCTGGTAGGGATGTAAAATGATAGAACCACTTTGGAAGACAGTCTAGCTGTGTCTTACCAAACTAAGCATGTCTTCATTACATGATCCACCAATATTACTCCTTGGTATTTACCCAAATGAGTTGAAAACTTAGGTCTACACAAAAAACCTGCACATAGAAATTTAGAGCAGATTATTCAGGATTGCCAAAACTTAGAAACAACCAGTATGTTCTTCAGCAGGTGAATTATTAAATAAACTGGTACATCCAGGCAATGGAATATTACTCAGAGCAAAAAAGAATAAACTATCAAGCCATAAAAAGGCATGGAGGAAGGCCAGGCATGGTGACACATGCCTGTAATCCCAGCACTTTAGGAGGTTGAGGCAGTTGGATTGCTTGAGGCCAGGAGTTTGAGATCAGCCTGGCCAACATGGTGAAACCCCATCTCTACTAAAAACACAAAAATTAGCCAAGGGTGGTGGTGCATGCCTGTAGTCGCAGCTGCTTGGGAGGCTGAGATGTATGAATCACTTGAACCCGGGATGCTCTGGGAGGTGGAGGTTGCAGTGAGCCCAGATCATGCCGCTGCACTCCAGCCTGGGCAACAGAGGAAGACTCTGTCTCAAACAAAAACAAAAACAAAAAAGGCATGGAGGCTTAAATGCATATTACAGTGTGAAAAATCCAATCCGAAAAGCCTATACACTATATAATTCCAATTATTGCCATTCTAGAAAAGGCAAAACTATGAAGACAGTAAAAAGATCAGTGGCTGACAGGAGTTGGGGAGATAAAAGGGATGAATAGAGAGAGAACAGAGGATAATTTTAAGGCAGTAAAAATACTGTATGATATTATAATGGTGGATAGATGTCATTACAAACTTCTTCAAATCTATAGAATATAGAATAGAAAGAAGGAATACTAATGTAAACTGAGGACTCTGGGTAATAATCATGTGTCAGTGTAGGTCCATCAACTGTAAGAAATTTTTTACTCTGGTGGGAGATGTTGACGATGAGGAAGGCTGTGCATGTGTGGGGCAGGGAGACTATGGGAAATCTCTGTACCTTCCACTAAAATTTGCTGTGAACCTAAAACTGCTCTAAAAACAATACCTATTGAAAAAAATCCATCCCTAG
The DNA here is from genome assembly GCF_000001405.40 of Homo sapiens. Taxonomy (NCBI): domain Eukaryota; kingdom Metazoa; phylum Chordata; class Mammalia; order Primates; family Hominidae; genus Homo; species Homo sapiens. The sequence goes on along the minus strand of NC_000005.10, from coordinate 88,355,804 downwards.
AGAATTGTCACTTTCTGACATATCTGGAAATTCCTGGAAAATCTTTATTTGCAGGGCTTGTCATTATTTGACTTGTCTCAGATCTTGCTCAGTGAAAAAAGCCCTATCCCCAGAGTGTTTTTCAAAAACAATCAGAGGAAATTGTTTCACATTGCAGTTTCCTGAGCTAGTGATACCAGTAGTGGCAAACAGAGGAAGACCAAAAGACTTAAAAAGAATATGTAGAAAATAAAATCTCCATGAGAGATTTGAAAAATCCAACATATTCCTGAGAATCCAGAAGGCAGAACAATGTGCTTGTCCAGAAAAAACACCTGAGAACACCCTTATATTTCAACTGTGGCTGATGCTGAGGCCCTGTGCAATCAGGACGTGAGGCTAAAGCAAGGTTATAAACTACTGGAGCCCCACTATACATATGGAGACCTTAGGTGAAGAGTAGAAGACTTATTGTTTTAAGGCACTTAAGGAAATCTATGTCCAATCATTACCTGACTACAAAGTTAATCAAGGATAAACATCGGCAGCTAAATACAAGGAATACAGACTTCACAGAATCAATCCAGACAAGTCACTGAACAAAACAAGTAGTGAAAAAGAACAATAACTAACAGCAACAACAATAAACTCTGGAGGGAGTAGATACCTGATTTCCAGAATTGCCACAATCCATCTTTTACAATGTCTACCTTTCAATTAAAATTATGAGACATGGGAAAAACCCAGAAAAGTAAGGTCCATACAGAAGGGAAAAATAATAGTTCACAGAAACTGTCCTTAAGGAAGCCCAAATATTGGACTAGTAGACAGAAACTTTAAATCAGCTTTTATAAATATGTTGAAAGAACTAAAATCACATCTAAAGCATTAAAAGAAGGTCTGAGAATGTTTCGTCAAATAGAAAATAACAATGAAGAGATAGAAATTATAAAATAATTTGAATAGGAATTTTAGAGTTCAGAAGTATAATAACTAGAATGAGAAATCTATTAGAGAGGCTCAACAACAGGTAAGAGTTAGCAGAAGAAAAAAAGCACTGAACTTGAGGATAAATTGGCTGGGCATGGTGGCCCATGCCTGTAATCTCAGCACTTTGGGAGGCTGAGGTGGGTGAATTACCTGAGGTCAGGAGTTCAAGACCAGCCTGGCTAACATGGCGAAACCCTGTCTCTACTAAAAATAAAAAATTAGCCAGGCATGGTGGCGCATGCCTGTAGTCCTGGCTACTCAGGAGGCTGAGGCAGGAGAATAATTTGAACCCGAGAGGTAGAGGTTGCAGTGAGGCAAGATCATGCCACTGCACTCCAGCCTGGGTGACAGAGTGAGACTCCCTCTCAAAAAAAAAAAAAGAAGATAAATTAATTGAAATTATTCAGTCTGAGGAACAGAAAGAAAAAAATAAAGAAGAAAAAGGAATAGAGCCTAAGATATCTGTGGGACACCATCAAACATCTAACATATGCATAATGGAAGGCCCAGAAGGAGAGGAGGGAGATAAAGAGGTGGAGAGAATATCTGTAGAAGTAATGACCAAAAATATTCCCAATTTGATGAAAATCATTAATCTACACATCCCAAAAGCTCAACAAATTCCAAGTAAAATAATTGAAATTATTGCACACTTAGACATATCATAGTCCAAATTGTCAAAAGCCAAAGAAAAAAAGATAATCTTTTTTATTTATTTATTTATTTTTTTTTTTGAGACCCAGTCTCGCTCTGTCACCCAGGCTGTAGTGCAGTGATGCGATCTCGGCTCACTGCAAGCTCCGCCTCCTGGTTCACGCCATTCTCCTGCCTCAGATTCCCGAGTAGCTGGGACTACAGGCACCTGCCACCACGCCCGGCTAATTTTTTGTATTTTTAGTAGAGACGGGGTTTCACTGTGTTAGCCAGGATGGTCTCAATCTCCTGACCTCGTGATCCGCCCGCCTCGGCCTCCCAAAGTGCTGGGATTGCAGGCGTGAGTCACTGTGCATGGTCCAAAAAAGATAATCTTGAAATAAAAATGACTCATCATTTCAAGGGATTGTCATCAAAGAATTCTATGTTCATCAAAACTATCCTTAAAAATCAAAGGGAAACTAAGATGTTCTCAGATAAACAACTGCAAGAGTTTATGACTGAAAGACATGTACTACAAGAAATATAAAGAGAGTACTTCAGGCTGAAGTGAAACAACACTAGATAGTAACTTGAAACCACACAAATAAATAAAGAACTCACATAAAGGTAACTATATAAGTAAATATGAAAGACCAGTATAAATTTATATTTGTTGCTATCTCTTTTTGTCTCCTATCTGACTTAAAAGACAACTGCATAAAGCAATAATTATAAAACTGCTTATGGGTTAAAGTTGCAGTTTATATGATAATAACAGCATAAAGGAGGGGAAGGAAACAGAGCTAAACTGAAGAAAAGTTTTGGCATTAATCCAAACTAAGAAATAACTCAAAAAAAGTAAAAGAAATGACAAGTGAATTAAAATGGTATACTAGAAAATATCTATTAACATACAAAAAGGCAGTAATGGAGGAATAGCGGAACAAATAAAGACATAAAAACAAATATTCAAATGACAGCAATAAATTCTATTAAATGTAAATAGATTAAACACTCTAATCAAAAGGCAGACATTGACAGAATGGATTTAAAAAACATAATCCAACTATGAGCTGTATACAAGAGATACACTTCACAAAGACAAATAAGTTGAAAGTAAAAAGATGGAAAAAAAGATACACTGTGGAAATAGTTACCAAAAGAGAGCTGGGGTGCCTATACTAATATAAACACTAGTCTCAACTGGGCCAGGAAGGAAATCATTGCTCTTCCTTTATGACTTAACATTTATCTGTCTAGAATTTAGTAATTATCTTTTCTTATTTGCTTAGTTTTCCATGTATTTATTTGATTCCATGCAAATTCCTCACAATCATCTAAATCTCCTTTCAAAATGTTCAAACACATCAGGTATTCCAATTTTATGTTCCTAATGGTGTTTCTCATAGTGTCTTCTGCCATGCTACAATATGTATGGGTTACCCTCTATGCCTGCATTTTTCATCCTAGTATCTGCTTTCATAACATCATGGTTATTACTTTCATCTCGTCTTGGATTGAAAATACTGCTTCTGGTTTGCCAGGCCTTCCTCTTTCTTGGTTTGTTCCCTCATTTTGGTAGAACTTAGCCTCCAAGAGCTTCCTGAGAGAAGGAATAAGGAAAAATTTTTTTTACAAATTTCCTGCCAAAAACCTATTTATTGTATTCTGAAACTTGCTTAAAATTTGGCTTGGTATAAAATGTTTGGTTGCAAGTCATTTTCTCTCAGAATTTTAAAGGCATGTTTCCAATGACCTTGAACTTCCTGTACTCCAGTGTCAAATATTCAACAATTTTGATTTTTAATTCTTTTTATGTGACCTATTTTTTCTCTCTGAAACACTATCTCCACTGTACTAAAATTTTACAATGACGTGTCTTGGTATGAGTCTATTTCATCTGTTTTCTGGGACACTCTGTGGGTTCTTTTTTCTTACTTCCTATGGATATTTAAAGATCTAGCTTACATATAAAATTTGGTGATCAGTGAAAGGCATACAGGAATAAAATACAATCAGAAAAAGCCAAGAGGCTCCTAATCACAGATCTAGAGACACCATAATACAGGTGAGTTCTGGCTAACTCAAGGAAGAGGAGGGAAATATGTTTAAAGAGAAAGAATGGATTAGTTGTTTTAACAAGTATTCAACCCCAATTGTAGTGACTAGGGCAGAAAAACAGAGAGACTGGCAAAATAAAGTTTTTGTGTGGAAGGTTAGTAGTTCTGGGTCATTTTGAGGACAGTTTTCCTCTCAATAAAATATAATATACATTATAGTCTTAATCAAATGTTTTAATGTAAGGTAGTCTTTCAGACTCAGAATGCCTTTTATTTTTTATCATGTCTACAAACCTCTGGGCTTTTAAAAATTTTTTAAATTTTTATACTTTAAGTTCTAGGCTACATGTGCACAACGTGCAGGTTTGATACATAGGTATACATGTACCATGTTGGTTTGCTGCACCCATCAACTCGTCATTTACACTAGGTATTTCTCCTAATACTATCTCTCCCCCAGACCCCCACCCCTCAACAGGCTCCGGTGTGTGATGTTCCCCTCCCTGTGTCCAAGTGAACTTATTGTTCAATTCCCACCTATAAGTGAGAAAATGCAGTGTTTGGTTTTCTGTCCCTGTGATAGTTTGCTGAGAATGATGGTTTCCAGCTTCATCCATGTCCCTACAAAGGATATGAACTCATCCTTTTTTATGGCTGCATAGTATTCCATGGTGTATATGTGCCACATTTTCTTAATCCAGTCTATCATTGTTGGACATTTGGGTTGGTTCCAAGTCTTTGCTATTGTGAATAGTGCCACAATAAACATACGTGTGCATGTGTCTTTATAGTAGCATGATTTATAATCCTTTGGGTATATACCCAGTAATGGGATGGCTGGGTTAAATGGTAATTCTAGTTCAAGATCCTTGAGGAATCACCATACTGTCTTCCACAATGGTTGAACCAATTTACACTCCCACCAAAAGTGTAAAAGTGTTCCTGTTTTATCACATCCTCTCCAGCATCTGTTTCCTGACTTTTTAATGATTGCCATTCTAACTGGTGTGAGATGGTATCTCATTGTGGTTTCGAATTGCATTTCTCTGATGACCAATGATGAGCATTTTTTCAGGTGTCTGTTGGCTGCATAGATGTCTTCTTTTGAGAAGTGTCTGTTCATATTCTTTGCCCACTTTTTGATGGGGTTGTTTGTTTTTTTTCTTGTAAATTTGTTTGAGTTCTTTGTAGATTCTGGATATTAGCCCTTTGTCAGATGAGTAGATTGCAAAAATTTTCTCCCATTCTGTAGGTTGCCTGTTCATTCTGATGGTAGTTTCTTTTGCTGCGCAGAAGCTCTTTAGTTTAATTAGATCCCATTTGTCTATTTTGACTTTTGTTGCCATTGCTTTTGGTGTTTTAGTCATGAAGTCCTTGCCCACGCCTATGTCCTGAATGGTATTGCCTAGGTTTTCTTCTAGGGTTTTTATGGTTTTAGGTCTAACATTTAAGTCTTTAATCCATCTTGAATTAATTTTTGTATAAGGTGTAAGGAAGGGATCCGATTTCAGCTTTCTACATATGGCTAGCCAGTTTTCCTAGCACCATTTATTAAACAGGGAATCCTTTCCCCATTCCTTGTTTTTGTGAGGTTTGTCAAGGCTCAGATGGTTGTAGCTATGTGGCATTATTTCTGAGGCCTCTGTTCTGTTCCATTGGTCTATCTCTCTGTTTTGGTACCAATACCATGCTGTTTTGGTACTGGTACCATGCTGTTTTGGTTATTATAGCCTTGTAGTATAGTTTGAAGTCAGGTAGCATGATGCATCCAGCTTTCTTCTTTTGGCTTAGGATTGTCTTGGCAATGTGGGCTCTTTTTTGGTTCCATATTAACTTTAAAGCAGTTTTTTCCAATTCTGTGAAGAAAGTCATTGGTAGCTTGATGGGGGTGGCACTGGATATTATCCAGGAGAACTTCCCCAACCTAGCAAGGTAGGCCAACATTCAAATTCAGGAAATACAGAGAACGCCACAAAGATACTCCTCGAGAAGAGCAACCCCAAGAGACATAATTGTCAGATTCACCAAAGTTGAAATGAAGGAAAAAGTGTTAAGGGCAGCCAGAAAGAAAGGTCAAGTTACCCACAAAGGGAAGCCCAACAGACTAACAGCAGATCTCTCGGCAGAAACCGTACAAGCCAGAAGACAGTGGGTGCCAAAATTCAACATTCTTAAAGAAAATAATTTTCAACCCAGAATTTCATATCCAGTCAAACTAAGCTTCTTAAGTGAAGGAGAAATAAAATCCTTTACAGACAAGGAAATGCTGAGAGTGAGAGACTTTGTCACCACCAGGCCTACCTTACAAGAGCTCCTGAAGGAAGCACTAAATGTGGAAAGAAACAACCGGTACCAGCCACTGCAAAAACATGCCAATTAGTAAAGACCATCGATGCTATGAAGAAACTGCATCAATTAATGGGCAAAATAACCAGTGAACATCATAATGACAGGATCAAATTCACACATAACAATATTAACCTTAAATGTAAATGGGATAAATGCCCCTGCTAAGAGACACAGACTGGCAAATTGGATAAAGAGTCAAGACCCACCAGTGTGCTGTATTCAGGAGACCCATCTCATGTGCAAAGACACACATAGGCTCAAAATAAAGGGATGGAGGAAGATCTACGAAGCAAATGGAAAGAAAAGAAAGCAGAGGTTGCAATCCTAGTCTCTGATGAAACAGACTTTAAACCAACAAAGATCAAAAGAGACAAAGAAGGCCAGTGCATAATGGTAAAGGGATCAATGCTACAAGAAGAGCTAACTATCCTAAATATATATGCACCCAATATAGGGGCACCCAGATTCATAAAGCAAGTCCTTAGAGGCCTATTGGACTCCCACACAATAATAATGGGAGATTATTAGACACATCAACGAGACAGAAGGTTAACAAGGATATCCAGGACTTGAACTCAGCTCTGCAACAAGCAGACCTAATAGACATCTACAGAACTCTCCACCACAAATCAACAGAATATACATTCTTCTCAGCACCACATCACACTTATTCTAAAATTGACCACATAATTGGAAGTAAAGCACTCCTCAGCAAATGTAAAAGAATAGAAATCACAACAAATTGTCTCTCAGACCACAGTACAATCAAATTAGAACTCAGGATTAAGAACCTCTGCCATTTTTTGCCTGAAACATATATTTTTTGAAGTGTAAGTCTTGTATAAAATGTTGTTAATTCTAAATAGGATTGGAATGAAATTTAAGAAAATATGTTCTACTATCAAAATTCTAGTGCTCAATTCTTTTCTTTTCTTTTTTTCCTTTGAAGCTGAAATCAAAACATTTAACTTAAGGTATACTACCATGAGTACATAAAACAGTATTTTTTAGATGATATACTGTTAAAGCAGAAAAGGAGTTTAGAAAGGATGGGAAGGGATAGGGTTAACTAGAAAATGTGGCAAATATTTTGATTGGATATTATTTTATTTGCAGTATCTTATCTCTATTTAAATCCTGTGACATAAAGATAAATAAATTATATGTGGTCTGTACAATATGTAATATCAGCTTTTCCAACGTACACTTTTCTTTTTTTCCAATCTGTGAAGACTGACAAAGGGAATTTAACAAAGAACTTTTATTCTTTCTTTCTTATCTCATCTTGGGAGATGAACTTAGTAGACACACCAATACTTAACTATTCTATTCCCAAGTTATTTTAATTATTAGGATAAAAAATTTTTGTTCCAATGAGAACACTTGGACACAGGAAGGGGAACATCACACACTGGGGCCTGTCATGGGGTAGGGGGAGGGGAGAGGGATAGCATTAGGAGATATACCTAATGTAAATGACGAGTTAATGGGTGCAGCACACCAACATGGCACATGTATACATATGTAACAAACCTGTACATTGTGCACATGTGCCCTGGAACTTAAAGTATAATTAAAAAAAATTTGTTCCTCGAGGCAGTAATACTGCAACAGTTCATTGGACTTTACCAGAGGGAAAACACTTCTAAGGATGTGATTCATTAGGTCTGAGCTCTTAAACATTGAATGTAGACATTTATCTAAAAACTAGATGAATGACACCAAGCAAAAAATAAAACTTAAAAGTGAGAAATTTAACCTGTCCATGGATCAACTTTTATTATCTGGACATTATTAGTTAAAGCAATGACTAATAAAAGCTGAATGAGCCTTGTAAACCTAATTTTTAAAATTATATACCCTGAGAATAATTTTTGTTTGCAAGATTTAAGATGATCATGTTTCTAGATTCTCAAAAGATATTCTTGATCCCTCTCTTATTCAACCACGTAAAAACTGTTAATTGTATAGTGAGGCTTATTGGTCAAAACAGAAAGGAAAAAAATGCAAGATTTTAAAATATGTGGTAAATACCACAGAAATTTGAGGAGAAGGAGGCAGAAACTATCAAAAATTTGAGAAGTGCATTTTAACAATGACAAAGTAAAGGAACACATATGAAACTAGAAGTCCAACTGGAAAATATGTATTTACCTGAATCACTACTAGTAACAATGTGTTATTTTGAATTGAGAGGGTGCTCACCTGTTAATATTTCTCCATAGCATTACTGTTTATTCTCATATCTAAAATTTTTAAAAAGTCAAGTTGCCCTGTTCTTTTGGGTTTAGCACTAAAATCCTGAATTACCACCAAAGGGTACATATTATTCTGAGCAGGATAGTCCTACAGATTGAAGATTTTAATTATATCTAAAAGTAGAGTTCTGGCACTTTTCTTCCCACTTGTCCCCAACAACAGTATCCTGTAGTTTGCAAAGACTAGCTGAGTGATGAATCAGACAGAACCTAAATTAACTCTGTGAGCCTTTTAATGTTGACTTCTAACTCACAAAAGTACACTATCATATGAGAGGATTATACCACCAGGCTTCAAATAACCACATGAATAACTTCTATTATAGAGATTGTATTAAAGTGTGTAAGTGGTTTGAATGGACACATGCTCTTGAAGTCCAGACCCCGTGAGCATAAATTAGTTAAAAAATAAGTCTCCAAGGTGCTGCCAGGAGTGATGTTCCAAACCATTAAAAAGCACACAATTCTTCCGGTTAGTATTCACCATGGAAGTTGTTCTCATTATGATGAATGCCAAAGTCATCCATGAAATGCCTTCCCTTCACAAATGCAGAGCAAAGACAGCAGAATGAGATAGTATTCAAATTAATGAAATTCTCACAGTGTAATTTTTGAAACTTCTTATGAAAGTCTTTAAACCTGCAGAAAAATTTAAAAACAGCATATTTATATTTGTTTTAAAACAGCACTTTTGATATCATTTTAATTCAATGATTATGAGATTTCATGTATCCAAGTATTTGAGTGCTTGTTTTTGCTTAATCTTCTGTTATTAATTTTAAATTGTATTGTTTTATAGTGAAGAATAAGGTCTCCTTAATTTTTATTTTTAAAAATTATCAGGGTTTTCTTTGTAGTCTATTTATGATCACCTTGTCCATGGATTCCTGAACAATTTGTCCTTTGTTCACGGGGCACATATATACAGTGTGTGTGTATAAAAAATATTCTGCTGGGTGCGGTGGCTCACGCCAGTGATCCCAGCACTTTGGCAGGCCAAGGCGGGTGGATCACAAGGACAGGAGTTCAAGACCAGCCTGGCCAAGATGGTGAAATCCCGTCTCTACTAAAAATACAAAAATTAGCTGGGCATGGTGGTGGGCACCTGTAATCCCATCTACTCGGGAAGCTGAGGCAGAGAATTGCTTGAACCCATGAGGCGGAGGTTGCAGTGAGCTGAGATGGTGCCACTGCACTCCAGCCTGGGCGACAGAGCGAGACTCCATCTCAAAAAATAAAAAATAAAATGAAAAACTTTCCAAGTTGATCCAGACTTTCATTTAGTTAGGACCTTGTTTTAAAATTTCCAATTGAAACTTTAATCTAATAGAATACTAGTTTCCAAATTGGTACAAAACAAACCTATGGGGCTTTGGTAAAGTGGGAAAATGACAAATTATAATATTGCCATATAAAAATAGCTACAATAGTGCCATATAAAAAATAGGCAGGAGATTTCTACTTCTTGGAAAATGGAGTGGAAGTACTTTCCCCTATTTCTCCTAATAAGTACAAATAAAATCCATAAATATGATAGATGAGAAAAATATAAGAGGATTTTGGAAGGTGGAGAGAAGAAGGCAGACTGACTAGAAATGACAGGACCTAAGGAATGCCACAGTGGTTAAGTTCCCTGGGTTTTCTTCTTGCCTCATATATTCCATTCTTAGAGCTGAAGAACCTGAAAACTTGAAAATGTTAATAGGCACAGACAAAAAATAATTATCCAACAAAACTTGCTATCTCTAACCAAAGAACCAGAAAAGGAATAACTTAGCAAGACTAAAAACTTACATAAGTAATAATCACTCTACTCTAGCTGAACCCCACAAAACTGTGGTCCCACCCCCACCTCCATCAGTAAAGGCCAAGTGGGGAGCCTAGATTTTCACTCTTGTAAGGTTGTAGTAAGGATCCCTAACATTCCCACCTGGATGATACTAGAAAAGGAAAGGAAGGAGCTAGCTATTATCCCACCAGTTAGGTGATGAGCATATTCATCCCCATCCTGTCAGTAGAGACAAAATGGAGAGCCTGGATTTTCACCCCCACCTGCCAGTAATGACTTATTCCTTCCCCTCTATGCTGGGACTACACCAGAGGAAATCTAATGGAGAGCCAAACTTTCATTATTATCCCCGGTAATGAAACTATCACCTTAAGGGTGTCAGTGGAGGCCACCTTGGGGAGCTGGGACTCCCACCTTTGCCTATCAGTGACAAGGAGTCTCTCCTGCTCAGGTGTCAACAGAGGTTGGGTGGAGGACTTTTCTTTTCTTTCTTTCTTTTTCTTTTCTTTTCTTTCTTTCTTTTTTTTTCTTTTCTTTTCTTTTCTTTTTTTTTTCTTTGAGAGGGTCTTGCTCTGTTGCCCAAGCCAAAGTGCAATGGTACAATCATAGCTCACTGCAGCCTCCCACTCTTGGGCTCAAGCTTTCCACCTACCTAAGCCTCCCAAGTAGCTGAGACTGCAGGCATGAATGACCATGCCCAGCTAATTAAAAAAGATTTTATGTAGAGTTAGGGGTCTCATTACATTGCCCAAGTTGGTCTCAATCTTTTGGGCTCAAGTGATTCTCCTACCTTGGCCTCATAAAGTGCTAGGATTACAGGCGTGAGCCACTATGCCCAGCTTGAGTGGAGAACTTGACCTTTTACCTCCAGCTGGAAGTAGTGAGGTGATGCCCTCACTTTCCCTGCCAGAGCACTATAAAAAAATTAAGCCAGCTAAAACAAAAAGTTTACAGAATATCCAGAGTTTCATAACATAATATATAAATGTTCAGGCTGCAATTAAAAATTATTCATGCTAAGAGCAAGGAAGATCTCAAACAGAATAAAAAAGACAACCAGTAAATGCCAATACCAAGATGACAGAAATGTTAGAATTTTCTTACAAAGATTTTAAAAAATGCATTGAATGAAAATGAAATTATAACACATCAGATTTGTGGAACACAGCTAAAGCAGGACTTAGAGGGAAATTTATGCAGTAAATGTATAACTTAAAAAAGGAGGCCAGGTGCCGTGGCTCATGCCTGTAATTCCAACACTTTGGGAGGCCTAGGCAGGTGGATCACTTGAGGTCAGGAGTTTGAAACCAGCCTGGCCAACACGATGAAACCCCATCTCTAATAAAAACACAAAAAATTAGCCAGGCATGGTGGCAGGCACCTGTAATCCCATCTACTCAGGAGGCTGAGGCAGGAGAATCCCTTGAACCCGGGGGGTGGAGGTTGCAGTGAGCCGAGATCACGTCACTGTATTCCAGCCTGGGTGACAAGAGCGAAATTCCATCACAAAAAAAAAGAAAAAAGGAAATGGCAAATCAACAGTAGAAGCTCTCACTTCAATAACTAAAAAGCCAAGAGCAAAATAATTTTAAAGCAAGCAGAAAGAAGTAAAGAATAAGGATAATAGCAGAAATCAATGAAGTTGAAAACAGAAAAACGACAGAGAAAATCAATGAAGCAAATCACTGGTTCTGTGAAAAGATCAATAAAATATACAAATGTCTAGCAAGACTGGCAAAGAAAAAAGAAGAGAAGACACAAATGACAAATATCAGAAATGAAACGGGATATCACTACAGAAGAAGATATCAAAATGATAATAAGGGAACACAACACACATAAATTTGACAATTCCTTGATAAACACAAACTATCACAACTCACCCAATATTAAATAAATGTGAATAGGCCTGTAACTATTCACGACATTGATAACTTAGAACTCCTGAAAAAGAATCCTCCAGGCTCAAATGGTTTTACTAGAGAATAGTACCAAACATTTAAAGAAGAATTAACACTAATTTTATATAATCTGTTCCAGGAAAATAGAAAAGAATATTTCCCAATTCATTTTATGATATCAAAACTAGACAAAGATAGTACAAACAATAACAGCAACAACAAACTACAGACCAAAATTGTTGATGAATATTGATGAAAAAAACCTTAACAAAATATTAGTAAATAAATTTTAACAACATACAAAATACATTATCCACCATGATCTAATGGAGTTTATTAATGGATGCAAAGATGGTTCAATTTTTATTTTATTTTACTTTTTTAATTTTTTGACTGGGTCTTACTCTGTCTCCCAGGCCGGAGTGCAGTGGTGCAATTCGGCTAACCACAACATCCACCTGCCAGGTTCAAGCAGTTCTCCTTCCTCAGCCTCCCAAGTAGCTGGGATTATAGGCGCCTGCCACCATGCCCAGCTAATTTTTGTATTTTTAGTAGTGACATAGTTTCACCGTGTTGGCCAGGCTGGTCTTAAACTCTTGACCTCAAGCAATCCACCCACCTTGGCCTCCCAAAGTGCTGGGATTACAGGCATGAGCCACCATGCCCAGCTGATGGTTCAATATTTAAAAATCAATATTCAAAATCAGTCAAATCAATGCTATTAAACAGACTAAAGAAGAAAATCACAAGATCATATCAATTGACAAAGAAAAGGCTTTTGGCAAAATTCAACTCCCATTCACATTCACAGAGAGAGAGAAAAAAATATCAGAAAAGTAGGAATAGAAGGGAATCTCCTTAACTTGATAAAGAGCAACTACCAAAAACTTACAATAATATACTTAATGATGAAAGAATGACTGCTTCCCCTCTAAGATTAGGAAAAAGGCAAGGATGTCCACTCTTACCATTCTTATTCAACCTAGAACTTAAAGCTCTAGCCTGTGCAATAAAGCAAGAAAAGGAAATTAAATTATACAGATTGAAAAGGAAGAAATAAACTGTCCATATTTGCAGGTGGCATGATGATCCACATAGGAAATCCCAAATAATTTATAAAATACTCTTAGAACTAATAAGTGAGTTCAGCAAGTTTGCAGAATATATGATAAACATACAAAAATCAATTGCATTTATTTTTCTTTTTCCTGTCTTTTTAAAATATAAAATATTTTTACTTTTAATTTTTGTGGGTACATGGTAGGTGTATATATTTATGGGATACATGAGATACTTTGATATAGGCATGCAATGCATAAAATCACTTCAGGGTAAATGGGATACAAATTACCTTAGGCATTTATTTCTTATTTGTGTTACAAACAATCCAATTATTTTCTTTTAGTTACATTTAAAATGTACAATAAATTATTATTGACTGTAGTCACTCTGTTGTACTATCAAATACTAGATCTTATTCATTCTAACTGTTTTTTTGTATCCATTAGCCGTCCTCCCTTTCCTCTATCCCCTAACTACCCTTCTCAACTTATGGTAACTATTATTCTACTTTCCATCTCCACGAGTTCCATTGTTTTAATTTTTAGCTCCCACAAATAAGTAAGAACAATTAAAGTTTTTCTTTCTTTGACTGTCATATTTCACTTAACAGGATGTATTACAGTTCCATCCATGTTGTTACAAATGATAGCATCTCATTCTTTTTTATGGCTGAACAGTACTCCATTGTGTATATATACCACATTTGCTTTATTCATTCATCTATTGATGGACACAGGTTGATTCCAAATCTTGGCTATTGTAAATATTGCTACAACAAACAGGGGAATGAAGAAATCTTTTTGACACACTGATTTTCTTTCTTTTGGATATACACCAAGTAGTGCAATTGCTGGATCATATGGTAGCTCCATTTTCAGTTCTTTAAAGAATCTCCAAACTGTTCTCCTTAGAGGTTGTACTAATACATTAATACATTCCCACCAACAGTGTACAGGAGTTTCCTTTTCTCCACATCCTCACCAACATTTGTTATTGCATGCCTTTTGGATAAAAGTCATTCTAACTGGGATGAGATAACATCTCATTGTAGTTTTGATTTGTATTTCTTTGATGATCAATGATGTTAACCATCTTTTTATATACTTGTTTGTCATTTTTATGTCTTCTTTTGTGAAATGTCTACTCAGGTGCTTTGCCCATTTTTAAATATGATTCTTGGATTTTTTTCCTGTAGAATTGTTTGAGATACTTATATATTCTGGTTATTAATCCCTTATCAAATGGATAGTTTGGGTCCCATTCTGTGGGACGTCATTTGGGTCCCAAATATTCTCTCCCATTCTGTGGGATGTCTCTTCACTTTTTCTTTTATTGTTTCCTTTGCTGGGAAGAAGCTTTTTAACTCAATGTGATACCATTTAACTACTTTTGCTTTAGTTGCTTGTGCTTGAGGGGCATTAATCAAGAAATTTTTGCCTACTCCAATTTCCTGAAGAATTTTGCCAATGTTTTCTTTTAGTAGTTTCATAGTTTGACATCTTAGATTTAAGTCTTTAATCTGTTATGATTTGATTTTTGCGCATGATGAGAAGTAGGGGTCTAGCTTCATTCTTCTGCCTATAGATATGTAGTTTTCCCAGTACAATTTATTGAAGGTACTGTTCTTTCCCCAATGTATGTTCTTGGCACCTTTGTCAAAAATGAATTCACTGTAGAAGTATGGATTTGTTTCTGGGTTCTGTATTCTGTTCCACTGGTCTATTTGTTTTTATGCTAGTACCATGTTGTTTTGATTACTATCACTCTGTAGTATAATTTGAAGTCAGGTAATGTGATTCCTCCAGTTTTATTCTTTTTGCTGAAGATAGCTTTGGCTATTCTGGGTCTTTTGTGGCTCCATACAAATTTTAGGATTTTTTTTCTATTTTTGTGAAGAATGTCCTTGGTATTTTTATAAGGATTGCATTGAATCTGTAGATTGCTTTGGGAAGTATGGACATTTTAACAATAATGTTTATTCCAATCCATGAACATGGAATATCTTTCCATTTTTTGGTGTTATCTTCAATTAGTTTCATTGGTGTTTTATAGTTTTTATTGTAGAGATTGCTCACTTTTTTCATTAATTGCTAGGTATTTAATTTTATTTGTAGCTATTGTAAATGGGATTACTTTTTAAATTTCTTTTTTCAGATTATTCACTGTTGGCATATAAAAATGCTACAGATTTTTGTATGTTGATTTTTTATCATGCAATTTCACTGAATTTGTTTTTCAGTTATAACAGTTTTCTTATGGAGTCTTTGGTTTTTTCCAAATACAAGATCATATCATCTGCAATCAAGGATAATTTGACTTCCTCCTTTCCAATTTAGATGTCCATTATTTTTTCTCTTGTCTGATTGCTCTAGCTAGGATTTCCAGTACTATGTTGAATAACAATGGTGAAAGTGGGTATCCTTGTCATATTCCAGGTCTTGGAGGAAAGGCTTTCAGCTTTTCCCCATTAAGTATGATACTAGCTGTGGGTCTGTCATATATGGCTTTTATTATGTTGAGGTATGTTTCTTCTATACTCAGCTTTTTGAGGAGTTTTATCATTAAGAGTTGTTGAATTTTACCAAATGCTTTTTCAGTATCATTGAAATAATCATATGGTTTTTGTCCTCCATTCTGTTGATAAAATGTATCACACAGATCGATTTGCATAAGTAAACCAACCTTGCATCCCTGGGATAAATCCCAATTGATCATGATGAATGATCTTTTTAATATGTTGTTGAATTTGGTTTGCTAGTAGTTTGTTGAGGATTTTTGCATTAATGTTCGTCGGAGATATTGGCCTGTAGTTTTCTCTATTGATGTCTCTTTGTCTAGTTTTGGTATCAGGGTATTATCCTGACTTTTAATGGCAAAAACCTCAATTACTTTTTAATAATACTGGCCTTGTAGAATAAGTTTGGAACTATTCCCCCTTCCTCTATTTTATAACATTTTTTTGAGTAGGATTGGTATTAGGTATTCTTTAAATGTTTGGTAAAATTCCAGTGAAGCCATTGAGTACTGGACTTTTCTTTGCTGGGAGACATTTTATTATAGCTTCAATTTTGCTACTTATTATTGGTCTCTTCATGTTTTGGATTTCTTCATGGTTTAATCTTGGTTGTATGTGTCTAGGAATGTATCCATTTCTTCTAGGTTTTCCAGTTTATTGGCATGTAGTTGCCCATGGTAGCCTCTAATGATCATTTGAACTGCTGCAGTATTGGTTGTAATGTGTGCTTTTTCATCTCTAATTTTATTTATTTGAGACTTCTCTTTTTTCTTAGTTTGGCTAAAGGCTAGTCAATTTCATTTCTCTTTACAAAGAACCAACTTTTCATTGTCTTGATCTTTTTTTGTTTTATTTCAGTTTCATTTATTTTTAGTCTATTTTTTTCTATTAATTTGGGGTTTGATTTGCTCTTGCTTTTCTAGTTAATTAAGATGCATCATTAGGTTGTTTATTTGAAGTTTCTCTATGTTTTTATGTAGGCTCCTATAGCTATAGACTTCCCTCTTGGTAGTGCTTTTGCTATATCCCATAGGTTTTGATATGTTGCGTTTCCATTATCATTTGCTTCAAGAAATTTTTCAATTTCCTTCTTAATTCTTAATTCATTGATCCACTGGTCATTCAGAAACATGTTATTTAATTTCCATGTGTTTGTATAGTTTCCAAAATTCCTCTTGTTATTAATTTTTAGTTTTATTACACTGTGATTAGAGAAGATACTTGATTATTTCCATTTTTTTATGTTTTAAACTTGTTTTGTGCTGAGAATAATAATAATGTGTATTCTGCAGCCATTGGACAAAATGTTCTATAATTATCTATTAGGTCCATTTGGCCTATAGTGCACATTCAGCCCAGTGTTCCTTTGTTGATCTTCTGTCTGGTTGATGTGCTTAATGCTGAAAGTGAGGTGTATAGGTCACCAGCTATGATTATATTGAGGTCTATCTCTCACTTTAGCTTTAATAACATTTGCTTTATATACCTGGGTGCTCCAGTGTTGGATGTATATATATTTATAGTTGTTATATCCTTTTGCTGAATTGACCCATTTTCATTACATAATGACTATTTTCATCTGTTTTTATAGTTTTTGTCTTGAAATCTATTTTGTCTGATATAAATATAGCTACTCCTGCTTTTGTTTTGTTTCCATTTGCACAGAATACCTTTTTTCATCCCTTTATTTTTGGTCTGTGTGTGTCTTTGTAGGTGAAGTGTGTTTCTTGTAGGCAACAGATCCCAGGTCTTTTTTTTTTTTTAAATCTATTCAGCCACTCTATGTCTTCTGATAGGAGAGTTTAGTCTGTTTAAATTCAATGTTATTATTAATAAGTAAGGACTTACTCTTGCCATTTTGTAATTTGTATTCTGGTGTTTTGGGGTCTTCTCTTCCTTCTTCCTTCCTGTCTTCGTTTTAGTTAAAGTGATTTTCTCTGGTGGTATCTTTTAATTTCCTGCTTTTTATTTTTTGTGTATCTATTGTATGTGTTTTTATTTGAGGCTACCATGAGGCTTGCAAATAATTTGTTATAATCCATGACTTTAAACTGATGACAGCTTAACACTGATTGCATAAACAAACAAGCAAAGAAAAAACTAATAAAAACTCCATACTTTAAGTTTGTCCTATCACTTTTTAACTTTCTGTTGTTTCTATCTATATCTTATTGTATTATCTATGTCTTGAAAAGTTGGTGTAGTCATTATTTTGATTGGTTCCTCTTTTAATCTTTGTACTAAACATATGAGTAGTTTATACACCACAATTGTTGTTATAAGATTCTGTGTTTTTCTGTGTATTTACTATTACCGGTGAGTTCTGTACCTTCAGAAGATTTATTATTGCCAATTAATGTCCTTTTTTTTCAGATTGAAAACCTCCCCTTAGCATTTCTTGTAGGACAGATCTAGTATTGATGAAATCCTTCAGCTTTTGTTTAGAAAATCTTTATTTCTCCTTCATGTTTGAAGGATATTTTCACTGGATATACTATTCTGGGGTAAAAGTTTTTTTCTTAGAACTTTAAGTATGTCATGCCACTCTCTCCTGGCCTGTAAAGCTTTCACTGAAAAGTCTGCTGCCAGAAATACTAAAGCTCTACTGTATGCTATTTGTTTCTTTTCTCTTGATACTTTTAGGATCCTTCCTTTATTCTTGACCTTTGGAAGTGTGAATATTAAATGTTTTGAGGTGTCTTCTTTGGGCTAAATCTGCTTGGTCTTCCACAGCATTCTTGTACTTGAATATTGATATCTTTCTCTAGGTTTGGAACGTTCCCTACTATTATCCTTTTGAGTAAACTTTCCAGCCTTATCTCTCTCTACCTCCTCTTTAAGGCCAATAACTCTTAGATTTGTCCACTTGAGACTATTTTCTAGATCTTGTAGGCATGTGTTATTGTTTTTTATTCTTTTTTCTTTTGTCTCCTCTGACTGCATATTTTCAAATAGCCTGTCTTAAAGCTCACGAATTCTTTCTTCTGCTTGATCAGTTCTGCTGTTAAGAGATTCTGATGCATGCTTCAGTATGTGAATTGCATTTTTCAACTCTAGAATTTCTGCTTGATTCTTTTTAATTATTTCAATCTGTTTGTTAAATTTATCTGTTAGGATTCTGAATTCATTCTCTGTGTTATCTTGAATTTCACTGAGTCTCCTGAAAACAGCTATCTGTCAGACAAATAGCTGTTTTAAGGAAACTCAGTGAAATTCAAAATAAAACATGAATTATCTGTCTGAATGGTCACATATCTTTGTCTCTCTGGGATTGTTCATCAAAATCCCAGCAAGGTTTCTTGTGGCTATAGATGAGATTATTCTAAAATGTATATACAAACTAACAAAAAAAAAAAAAAAAAAACGCAAAAGAAACTAGAAAGCTAAAATGATTTTGAAAGAAAGTAATGTGGGAAGAATCAAATAAGCTTTGATTTCCAAGCTTATTATATAGCTACAGAAATTAAGACTATGTGGTATTGGTGGAGAGATAGTCTTATAGATCAATGAAGCAGAACCTGAAACCCAGAAATAGACCCATACAAATATGCCCAACTGATTTTTGTCAAAGGTGCAAAATAAATTAAATGAAGGAAAAAAAGCCCTTAAGGCTGGAGCAATTGAAAACCCATAGGCAACCCCCTCCTCCCAAAAAGAACAAATTTTAAAAACCAACCTGAATTTATGTCTCATATATTATACAAAAAGTAATTCAAAATGGATCACAAAATTAAATGTAAAACATAAGACTATAAAGCTTTTAGAAAAAAAAAAAAAAATAGGAGAAAGTCTCTGGAACCTAAGGGCAAGGCAAAGAATTCTTAGACTCGACACCAAAGCATGATCTGTAAAAGAAAAAAGTTGCTAAATCAATTTGATTAAAATTTAAAACTTTGGCGAGCAAAACACCCTATTTAGAAAATATTTGAAACCATGTACCTGACAAAATGTGGATCTAGAATGTATAAAACCCTTAAAATTCAATGGTAAAAAAGCCAAGAATCCGGCCAGGTATGGTGGAACACACCTGTAAACCCAGATCTTTGGAAGAATGAGGTGGAAGGATTTCTTTTTTTATTTTATTTTATTTTGTTTTATTATTATTATACTTTAAGTTTTAGGGTACATGTGCACAATGTGCAGGTTAGTTACATATGTATACATGTGCCATGCTGGTGTGCTGCACACATTAACTCGTCATTTGGCATTAGGTATATCTCCTAATGCTATCCCTCCCCCCTCCCCCCACCCCACAACAGTCCACAGAGTGTGATGTTCCTCTTCCTGTGTCCATGTGTTTTCATTGTTCAATTCCCACCTATGAGTGAGAACATGCAGTGTTTGGTTTTTTGTCCTTGCGATAGTTTACTGAGAAAGATGGTTTCCAGCTTCATCCATGTCCCTACAAAGGACATGAACTCATCATTTTTTATGGCTGCATAGTATTCCATGGTGTATATGTGCCACATTTTCTTAATCCAGTCTGTCATTGTTGGACATTTGGGTTGGTTCCAAGTCTTTGCTATTGTGAATAGTGCCACAATAAACATACATGTGCATGTGTCTTTATAGCAGCAATGATTTATAGTCCTTTGGGTATATACCCAGTAATGGGATGGCTGGGTCAAATGGTATTTCTAGTTCTAGATCCCTGAGGAATCGCCACACTGTCTTCCACAATGGTTGAACTAGTTTACAGTCCCACCAACAGTGTAAAAGTGTTCCTATTTCTCCACATCCTCTCCAGCACCTGTTGTTTCCTGACTTTTTAATGATTGCCATTCTAACTGGTGTGAGATGGTATCTCATTGTGGTTTTGATTTGCATTTCTCTGATGGCCACTGATGGTGAGCATTTTTTCATGTGTTTTTTGGCTGCATAAATGTCTTCTTTTGAGAAGTGTCTGTTCATGTCCTTCGCCCACTTTTTGATGGGGTTGTTTGTTTTTTCTTGTAAATTTGTTTGAGTTCATTGTAGATTCTGGATATTAGCCCTTTGTCAGATGAGTAGGTTGTGAAAATTTTCTCCCATTTTGTAGGTTGCCTGTTCACTCTGATGGTACGCAAATCAATAAATGTAATCCAGCATATAAACAGAACCAAAGACAAAAACCACATGATTATCTCAATAGATGCAGAAAAGGCCTTTGACAAAATTCAACAACACTTCATGCTAAAAACTCTCAATGAATTAGGTGTTGATGGGATGTATCTCAAAATAATAAGAGCTATCTATGACAAACCCACAGCCAATATCATACTGAATGGGCAAAAACTGGAAGCATTCCCTTTGAAAACTGGCACAAGACAGGGATGCCCTCTCTCACCACTCCTATTCAACATAGTGTTGGAAGTTCTGGCCAGGGCAATTAGGTAGGAGAAGGAAATAAAGGGTATTCAATTAGGAAAAGAGGAAGTCAAATTGTGCCTGTTTGCAGATGACATGATTGTATATCTAGAAAACGCCACTGTCTCAGCCCAAAATATCTTTAAGCTGATAAGCAACTTCAGCAAAGTCTCAGGATACAAAATTAGTGTACAAAAATCACAAGCATTCTTATACACCAATAACAGACAAACAGAGAGCCAAATGATGAGTGAACTCCCATTCACAATTGCTTCAAAGAGAATAAAATACCTAGGAATCCAACTTACAAGGGACGTGAAGGACCTCTTCAAGGAGAACTACAAACCACTGCTCAATGAAATAAAAGAGGATACAAACAAATGGAAGAACATTCCATGCTCATGGGTAGGAAGAATCAATATCGTGAAAATGGCCATACCGCCCAAGGTAATTTACAGATTCAATGCCATCCCCATCAAGCTACCAATGACTTTCTTCACAGAATTGGAAAAAACTACTTTAAAGTTCATATGGAACCAAAAAAGAGCCCGCATCACCAAGTCAATCCTAAGCCAAAAGAACAAAGCTGGAGGCATCACGCTACCTGACTTCAAACTATACTACAAGGCTACAGTAACCAAAACAGCATGGTACTGGTACCAAAACAGAGATATAGATCAATGGAACAGAACAGAGCCCTCAGAAATAACACCGCATATCTACAACTATCTGATTTTTGACAAACCTGACAAAAACAAGAAATGAGGAAAGGATTCCCTATTTAATAAATGGTGCTGGGAAAACTGGCTAGCCATATGTAGAAAGCTGAAACTGGATCCCTTCCTTACACCTTATACAAAAATTAATTCAAGATGGATTAAAGACTTAAATGTTAGACCTAAAACCATAAAAACCCTAGAAGAAAACCTAGGCATTACCATTCAGGACATAGGCATGGGCAAGGACTTCATGTCTAAAACACCAAAAGCAATGGCAACAAAAGCCAAAATTGACAAATGGGATCTAATTAAACTAAAGAGCTTCTGCACAGCAAAAGAGGTGGAAGGATTTCTTAACCCCTGGAGTTTGAGACCAGCCTGGGCAACATGAGAAGACCCCATCTCTATTTTAAAAATAAAAATGTTAAAAAATTTTTTAAAGCAAGGAATCCAATTAAAACATGGGATAGGCAAAAATTATGAAGAGACATTTCACCAAAGAAGATATACAGATGGGCAGATAAAAATAAGATGCTCGACATCATTAGTCATTAGAGAAATGCCAAAAATCACAATGCGCTAACACTAAGCACCTAACAGAATGACTTAAAAGAAAATAGTGACAACACCAAATATTGGCAAGAATGAGGAGGAATTGTATCACTCATACACCACTGGTGGGAATTAAAAATGGTACAGCTACTCTGGAAATAGTTTAACAGTTTCTTTTTTTTTTTTTTTTTTTTGAGACGGAGTCTCGCTCTGTCCCCCAGGCTGGAGTGCAGTGGCGCGATCTCGGCTCACTGCAAGCTCCGCCTCCTGGGTTCACGCCATTCTCCTGCCTCAGCCTCCCGAGTAGCTGGGACTACAGGCGCCCGCCACCACGCCCGGCTAATTTTTTGTATTTTTAGTAGAGACGGGGTTTCACCGTGTTAGCCAGGATGGTCTCGATCTCCTGACCTCGTGATCCGCCCGCCTCGGCCTCCCAAAGTGCTGGGATTACAGGCGTGAACAGTTTCTTTAAAAACTAAACATGCAAACACTTTCCAGCCCAACAATTTCACTCTTGGGCATTTATTCTAGAGAAATGAAGACATGAGTTTACACAAAAACCTGTACTTTGATATTTTTGGTAGCTTTGTTTCTAATAGCCAAAAACCGGAAATAACCCAGATATCCTTCAACAGGTCTATGTGATAAAAACAAACTGGTACATACATACCATGAAATATTACTCAGCAATAAAAAGAAAGTATTGATACACACAACCTACTGTAATCACCACAGAATTGTACTGAGTGGAAAAAAATGCCAAAAATTTACACATTGTTTATTACATTTATATAACTTTTTTTTAAATTGAGACAGAGTTTCACTCTGTCACCCAGGGTGGAGTGTTGTGGTGCAGTGGCACGATCTCAGCACACTGCAACCTCCACCTCCCAGGTTCAAGCGATTCTCCTGCATCAGTCTCTCCAATAGCAGGGACTACAGGTGCTTGCCACTACATCCAGCTAGTTTTTGTATTTTTAGTAGAGATGGGGTTTTGCCATGTAGGCCAGGTTGGTCTCAAACTCCTGACTTCAGGTAATCCACCTGCCTCGGTCTCCTAAACTGTTGGGATTACAGGCGCGAGCCACGGTGCCCGGCCATTTATATAACATTCTTAAAAAGACAAAATTATAAAACTAGAGAAGAGATTAGTGGTTGCCAGGGCTTGAGGAAGGGGTTAATGGGAGAGAAGTAAGGGTGGCTATAAAAGGGCAAACAGAGGGATCTTTGTGTTTATGGAAGTGTTCTGTATCTTGGTTGTATCAATGTCTATATCCTGGTTATGATATTGTTCTATATTGTATTCCTAAGATGCTACCACTGAGGGGAACTGGGTAGGTAAAGGGTATACTGGAATCTCTTTAATATTTCTTACTCCATGTGAATCTACAGCCATGTCACAACAAAAGTTTTAATTTTAAGACACAATTTTTAAAAACAGGCAAGATATTTGGACATTTACCAAGAAACCGTGAGAGTGACAGAACAGAAATATGATATGGCAGACCTGGGGAGGGAGCAATAAAATATAAGGAAGAAAGTGAAGCTTCCAAAAATCAAGAAACCCCTATAGGCAATATTGATGTTTACATTAATGTATATATGAACTACAGCCAACTACTTGCTGAGGTAAAATTAACTGACTGAGATCCACTAGTTGTGACCTACTAAAAGATTTCATCTTGAGAGAAGGAAGGATAGAAAGTGAATCTTAAATTGATAAGCACTCTTTCTCCACAATATGGTTTACATACTTCAATATAAGACATTTAGAGTAAGACCCTATCTGAACCTTCTTGTTTAACTTGACTGCAATATCCTGTGATTTTTCTCAAAGATCATTTATTCTGCAGTTCTAAATATGTGAACTGAAAATTGATGGTAGTTGGGAATCTTGCCTTTTTGTCTCTTATTTGGGTGGTGTTAACTGCAACAAAGCAGAATTTTCTGCAGTTGTTCATGTAACTTAATGGACAAATTGATGACTTTTTCTCTAGTCACTA
The DNA here is from genome assembly GCF_000001405.40 of Homo sapiens. Lineage (NCBI taxonomy): Eukaryota > Metazoa > Chordata > Mammalia > Primates > Hominidae > Homo > Homo sapiens. The sequence goes on along the minus strand of NC_000005.10, from coordinate 88,331,645 downwards.
CTATTGACTCTCTACATTTCACATTATTTAATGCTTACTCCACCATTAAATTGCTACAGTCCTAATGTGACACTGATGGCTAATTTTTACTGAGTACTTACTGCATGCCAGACACATACTAGGCACTATTATTTATAAACTATTTATACATTTATTAACTCCTTAATAAGTATCATTTAATATTTATTAACATTTACTAACTTCCTACCAACCCTATGGGTTAGATTTTGTTATTATCATAATTTTACAAATGAGATACAGAAAGGTGCATTAGTTTACTCTAGGTAATCCCTGTGCTACTAAATATTATAGTGAAGCCAGTACACAAATTTCAGTGATTTTAACTCCAGAGCGCATGCTCTTAGCCACTGTGCTTTTTAATTGTGTTATTATTTTTTATTGCTCTATAGGCCTGCTCTATTGCCCAGGCTGGTGTGCAGTGATGCAATAATGGTTCACTGCAACCTCAACTTCCTTGGCTCAAGAGATCCTCCCACCTCAGCCTCCTGAGTAGTTGGGACTACAGGTGCACACCACCATGCCCAGCTAATTTTTAACCTGTTTTAAGGAGAGGAAGTCTCACTATGTTGCCCAGGTTGATCTTGAGCTGCTGGCCTCAAGCAATTCTCCTGCCTTGGCATCCCAAAGCACTGGCATCACAGGTGTGAGCCACCATGCCTTGCCTTAACCACTGTGCTTTATGGCCTTTCATGAAATTGCATTATGTAGTAACATATATGAGAGGTCTCTAAAAGCTGTGTGATACAAATATAAGACATGATGGATTCTAACTAGTTTTGCCTTGCATTTTGGTACAGCCAGGTGACTGAATTTGGGTTAATGGTATGTGGGCAAAATGATACACGTCACTTTCAGGGCTAACCCATAAAGCCTTCCTACCATGATCTCCCATTTGCTTCTGTATCCTTTAACTGAATAGAAAGAACTTCAAGGACGTAGAGGAGGGCAGAACTACAAGGTAGAAGGAATCTGAATCCCTGCATTGCTGCTGAGAGAAGAGCTACCTAGCCAGGAACATCCACATTGGACTGTTGCTTGAATAAGAAATATACTTTCATTATTTTAAACTATTTAAATTTGGCATTGTTTATCATTAGCCAACCTTGAGTAAACACAAGATGTTAGTAGTATTATTATTGTCTGAGTTATCTTCTGTCTTTTGTTCTTTTTCTTTTCTCATATAAAGCCAAGTCCTTAATTCTCCAAGATTTTGTTTACAGTCCTCTTTATTTCCTTTACTCAATCATCTGCTCAGCAATTTTATGTTCGGTGATCTGTTCCATGTGAGTAAATCTGAAGTTTCTTCTCTCTTCCTCTCTCTTATTTATTTTTAATTTTAAAATACTGTTATTGTGTATATTTGAGGTTTGCAACATGATGTTGTGGAACACATATAGATAACTATAGAAACATAGATAATGCAATGGCTATTACAGTGAAGCAGATTAACGTATCTATAATCTCACATAGTTACTTCTTTTTGTGACAATAACAGCTAAAATCTAGTTATTTAACAAAAATCCCTAACACAATACAATTTTATTAACTTGGTCCTTAGGTTGTACCTTAGATCTCTTATTCCTCCTTCAGCGGGATAGTATTTTCCTGTCATTTGGTCACCTCTATCTAGGTGTCCTTTTCCTCACCCTTCAGACCAGTTATGAGTAAACCTACCTTGTCTTTACTAATCTGGACCCTGACATCTCTACTTCTGTGCGCCCAGACTGGAAACGTAACCTTGAATTTATCTTTGATTCTTTTCTGTCCTCCCTTTCTCTCCTCACAATTCAATCAATTGTTGTAATATTCTCCCTCTACAGCCCTTCTCTTTTCTGTCCTCTCTTTTTCTTTTCTATTGTCATCGTTATTTCCGCATTGCATAACCCCTCCTGAACTCTGTAACATCTTCCTAACTGGAATTTGAATTCAGATCGGCTTCACTTCAGTCTCTTTCTTTCCCCCATAATCAAAGCTCTAATCAAGTCAAGCTAGTCACTGATGGCTAGGCTATTAACTGCTGTAATAATTTTAAATGTCACAATTTAACATCCAATATCATCAAACAACAATAACAAAAATAATTCTTAGCTCCATTTCATTCTCCTATACCTCAATAGATGCTTTATGTGCCAGCTAAGCATCACAGCATTAAACATGAACAGCCTAGGCCATTTTCAACTACACATCTACCTGGACTCTTTTTTTCTTGCTTTCTTTCTTTTTAAGAGACAAAATCTCGCTGTGTTGGCCAAGTTGTTCTTGAACTCCTGGCCTCAAGCAATCCTCTTACCTTGGCCTCCCAAAGTGCTAGGATTGCAGACATGAGCCACCATGCCTGGCCTCTTTTTTTCTTTTCCTTTCTTAAAGTGTTGAACATTTTAACATTACATTTTAAAAGCTTTATATTTGTGATACGTAAGATATAGGACTGCTGCTTATTATAGAAGTTACCTCGGCTTATCAAAAGAGTGCTCTTTTGTCAAGGACTATCTCAAATGCCACTTCTTTCATGAAGCCCCTTTTAAGAAACATTTTCTATTATGAAAAAATTAAATATATAAAGACATGAACAAAATTGCACAACGAACCCCCATGTGCCCATTATATAACTTCAGTAATGATGAACTCATACCGAGTCTTGATTCACCCCTACTCACTGCCTTCTCCTTTATCAGGTGCCAAGGTGAACACAACCACTCCCTTCTCTTTGCACCTCTCTTGAAGCACTAGCATTGCTATATGTATTTTATACCTATTTCCATACATTTTGTACTCTCTCCTAGATGTAAAGTCCCTTGAAGGTAAAGTCTCTATGTTATTGCCTTCAGCACCTATCCAGCACTGAGTCTAATAGACAAAAAACAACACATTTTTTGAATTTGAATTGAAATACCTAATGCTATTTTAAAAGGAGTTATTTTTCCTAAAGTTAATAATCAGATCTTTTGAAAAAAATTATCTCTATGCAAAGCCAACATGAGCACCAATCATATTTTTAAATTTTCTGAGGAGGAGATCCATGTGCTTCTTTAGTAATCCAATGCCCTGTTTGGATTATCTCAATAATCACTCAATTCTATACTGGGCGTTAGCTCAGGGTGACATTGGATAAATCATGTGGAATTAGCATAGTGAATATATTCTCTTTGCCTGTTTCCTTATTAGCAAACTACATATTCCCATTCTAGCTCACAAAAGAATTATGAGATTAAATAGCACAGTCACCTATTGATTACACAGGTTATGAACCATTGAGAGTTTATTTTGTGCCCTATCTAGATCTGTTGTCCAATTTTGTGTTTTTTATTATTTACTAATTGTCCTCTCAGAAGATGATGCAAAGGGATGAAGAGGACACAAAGCTTAAATTATGTAGCAGTGAGGGTCAGCAAAAAATTTGGCTGTGTAGAAAATTAAATCAATTAACTAAAATGAAGATCATCTGTCCTTGATTAATATGAATGATAAAGAATCATCTGTGAAGCATGTTGAGTTCCTTAGAGAAAGTCTTTATTTGTGGTTGTTAGTGTTTGCGTATCTGTATGTCTGTTTTTGTGTGTGTGTGTGTGTGTGTGCATGCGTGCGTGCATGTGCTCGCTTTATCATGGACAGCCTTTTTCTTCAAATTTAATATTTTATTGATTCAAGAATTTCATCAAAAATTAAGAATTTATCAAACCTTAAAAGAACATAAAGAATTGAAAATATGAACTTTGTGAAACCATTTACCATGTTTCCATGATAATTTCTACTGTTGGGAATAAAATTGTGGATTGTTTGGTTTCTATTATGCTTATGTGCACTTTGAAGTGAAATACTAAATCCAGCATTAAACCAAAAATGAGATTACAGAAAAGACTATGCAAAAGACTCTGTCTAATATATGGTCAACTAATCTTTGACAAAGACTCCAAGAATACACAATGATGAGAAAGAATAGTCTCGTTAATAAATGGTATTAGGAAAACTGGATATGCTGATGCAAAAACAAGAAAATCAATCAATCAGATCCTTATCTTACACCATACACAAAATCAACTCAAGATGGATTAAAGATTTAAATATAAGATCTGAAACTATTAAGACTCCTAGAAGAAAACACAGGTGAAAAGCTCCATGACATTGGACTTAACAATGATTTCTTGGATATGCCACCTAAAGCACAGGCAACAAAAGCAAAAATAAATGAATGGGATTACATCAAACTAGAGAGTTTCTGCACAGCATAGGAAACAATCAACAAAATGAAAAAGGAACCTATGGAATGGGAGAAAATATTTGCAAGCCACATAGCCATAAAAAGAATTAATATCCAAAACATATGAGGAACTCACACAACTTAATAGCAGAAAAAACAAAGAACCTGAGTTAAAAATGGGCAGAGTGTCTCATGCCCATAATGCAAACATTTTAGGAGGCTGAGGAGGGAGGATTGCTTGAGGCTGAGAGTTCAAAACCAGCCTGGGCAACATAGTGTGATCCTGTATCTACCAAAAGTTAAAAAAATTATCTGGGCATGGTGCTATGTGCCTGTAGTCTTAGCTACTCAGGAGGCTGAGGCAGGCAGATTGCTTGAGCCCAGGCATTTGAAGCTGCAGTGACACACCACAACACTAAAGCCTGGCTGACAGACAAGACCCTCTCAAAAAAAAACAAACAAGCTAAAAATTAAAAATAAAATTAAAGTGGGCAAAAGATCTGAATGTACATTTTTCCAAAGAAGACATAAAAATGACCAAGAGGTATATGAAAAGGTGCTCAATATCTTAAATTATCAGGCAAATGCAAATCAAAACCACAATGAGATACCACCTCGCACCTGTTATGATGACTATTAGCAAAAAATTGAAAGATAACAAGTGTTGGTTAGGGTGTAGAGAAAAGAAAAGTCTCATACACAGTTAGTGGAAATGTAATTAGTACAGCTATTATGGAAAACAGTATGGAGGTTTTTCAAAAAATTAAAAATAGAACTATTGTATGATCCAGCAATCTCACTACTGAATATATATATCCAAAGAAAAATAAAATTGATATGTTGAAGATATAGCTGCACTACCACATTCACTGCAGAACTATTCACAATAGCAAGGATATGGAATCAATCTAAGTGTCCATCAACTGATCAATTAATAAAGAAAATGTGATCCACACACACACACAAAACACACACACACACACAATGGATATTATTTACCCTTTAAAAAAAGGAAATTCTGACATTTATGACAGCATTGAGGAACCTGGAAGACATTATAGTAAGCCACACACGGAAAGACAAGCACTGCATAATCTCACTTATATGTGAAATCTAAAAAAGTCACATTCATGGAAACAGAGAGTAGAAGGTTGGTTACCAGTGGTTAGGGGAAAGGAGAAATGGGAAGATGTTGGTTAAAGAGTATAAACTTGCAGCTATAAGATTAGCAAGTTCTGGAGCCCTAATGTATGGCACGGTGACTATAATTAATAATAATGCATTGTATACTTAAAATTTGCTAAGAGAGAAGATCTCAAATATTTGCATCGTACACACAAAGAGATAACTGTGACGCAATAGATATGTTTATTAGGTTGATATGGTAACCATTTTACAATATATACATATATCACAACATCATATTATACACCCTTAATATATGCAATTTCTACTTGCCAACTATACCTCAGTAAAGCTGGGAAAAATTTATTTATTGAACCAAAAAAATCCGTGCATTAAAAAAAGACTAAACAGTTACATTATTATGCAAGGTTGATGTGAAGGTAAAAGTATTGTAGGTAACAAGTGAGCCTAAAGAATTACCTAGCATTACCATTTCATGATGTTTTTGTAGTTTTTGACTAATAGTATGTGTAGTTGCTCTGATAAAATTATAATATTCTATATTAGAGTAGCGGAGAATAATTATATACTTTGGTGGTATTGAGTAATTTGGAAATTTGCAAAGATCTAAGGATGCATCTTTGAAAAGGCCAGCCTGGTTTATCATTGACAAGGGTATATAGAGTACCGGGAGAAGTCATCTTTTTAGCCCTCATTACTTGAGTTGGGCAGTGCCCTAAAGTTATGCAGAGAAATTAGCTGGGTGTGATGGCACATGCCTATAGTCCCAGCTACTCGGGAGTCTGAGGCGGGAGAATTGCTTGAGCCCATGAGTTCCAGGTTGCAGTGAGCTATGATCATGTCTCTGCACTCCAGCCTTGGTGACAGATTGAGGCCTGGTCTCCTTAAAAAAAACACAAACAAACAAAAATGCAGAGAAGCCAAAGCTGTGGGGCCATACTGAAACTTGTTGGGTGCCCTTGTCTCTATGAGAAGCACCCAGTGAGATGTTTCTCACTGGTCTTAACAAGATATTGCATATATTCATTTCTTTTTTATTGTTATTTTTTGATTTAAATACTTACTATTAAAATAAAAATGTTTGAAAACTACTGACCAGGTTTCCCACAACCTCAGCTTTCCTCTACGTAAGATTTTACTTGCATCTAAAAAATCTCTGACATACCTGTTAGGATCCCATTTGTGAGGTCCTTTATCGATTACATGATTATTAGTCCATGTCTGAGTTAGACGCTGTCTTTCAAAGCCTTCATTTCAAATTCATTTAGTTACCAGTTTTTCACACTAGATAAATTATTTGGAGTCTTTCATTAGAATTTATTTTCCTAAGCATAAGCCCCTCTTTTCCCTATAATTTTCATTTGTTCTTCACTGCTTACCAAATTATGGGCAATCTCTGTATCCTGGCATTTTAAATCTTCGATCACATGGCACCAGAACTGTCTACCACTGCATGCCTACATGTGCCTTAGAGTGCAGTAGAGCTGAGGGCCAGGACAATATCTCACACATGCTGTGTTAAGTCTTACAGAAACAATATCAAACAACTAAATCTGCCATTGTCGCTGTTATGCTTCCCATTGTCAGCCCCAAGTCACTAATTTTTTTTTTCTTTTTTGAGACAGAGTCTCACTCTATCGCCAGGTTGGAGTGCAGTGGTGCAATCTCAGCTCACTGCAGCCTCCACCTCCCGGGTTCAAGCGTTTCTCCTGCCTCAGCCTCCCAAGTAGGGATTACAAGCACGCACCACCATGACCAGCTAATTTTTGTATTTTTAGTAGAGACAGGGTTTCACCATGTTGGCCAGGATGGTCTCAATCTCCTGACCTCGTGATCCACCCGCCTCGGACTCCCAAAGTGCTGGGATTACAGGCGTGAACCACCACACCCGGCCACTAATTTTTTTTTAAAACTCTGATTGAAGGAGAAAAATGTTTTGTTCTGTTTTGTTTTGTTTTCTCTCCCTCTCTGAAAAAAAATGCTTACATTTTATGGCAAGTTGTCTCAGTTTGTTTTGTGCTGCTATGACAGAGTCCCACACCTCCCATAACACCTCCCATTAGGTCCCATCTCCCAACACTGTTGCATCAGGTACTAAGTTTCCACCACATGCTTTTTGGGGTATATATTAAAATCCTAGTAGAACTGAACATTTATATTTTTTAGTTTTGTATTTCTTCTGTTTTTCAAGAAATAGCCTATTTCTTTCCATTTAGAATATATTTTTCAAATCTTCACAACACATAAGCAATATATTTAATATTAAATCTGTAACATGACAATAAGGTTAATAAATGTTAATAAAACCACCAGTTTGTTTACTTTCTGAAAGTATATAAGAAAATAAAAATGATTGATTACTTTATTTGGTAAATTTAGTACTTCTAAAAGATGTCAAATGAAAGACTGAAATCCCTCATTTATTGCCAGACAAATATAACAATGAAACACAGCTTTATCACAGTTATTTATGTAATTAAGCATTCTGTTTTATTTTAGGAATTCTTCGGAGGAGGTACTCTTCACATTTAAAACAAAAATTTTGTTTATTATCTTAAATCAAAGGTTTGAAAACCACATGGTACATTTTTTTTTTTTTTTGAGACGGAGTCCCGCTCTTTAGCCCAGGCCGGATTGCAGCGGCACAATCTCGGCTCACTGCAAGCTCCGCCTCCCAGGTTCACGCCATTCTCCTGCCTCAGCCTCCCGAGTAGCTGGGACTACAGGCGCCCGCCACCGCGCCCGGCTAATTTTTTGTATTTTTAGTAGAGACGGGGTTTCACCGTGTTAGCCAAGATGGTCTCGATCTCCTGACCTCGTGATCCGCCCGCCTCGGCCTCCCAAAGTGCTGGGATTACAGGCGTGAGCCACCGTGCCCAGCCGGTACATTTTTAATTTAATATTAACTAAAAATATGCAAGCAACTAATCTTAGTTGTTTTCTGTTTACTTCTATTCCTGGAAGATTTCTAACATAGTCTCATGCCCAATTTTCTAGAGATAGCTTGCAGCTTATCAGCTTGCTTCCATTTAGTAATAATTGGGGTATTTGGATGCACTAAATAAAATATGATATATCGCAGATTTTGGCAATGCATATAAGTTACCTTAAATACTTTCTGCTGATTGCCCAGTGACTATATTTATGCATATTATATTTATATATCTTATATATAAAAACACATACATGAATTCCTGAAAATGCGTTATAGACTGAGTGATGTTTGTCTTCAATTATAGTACGTGTTTTTCTTTTTCCTTGAATGGCTCTTTCCAGTTTATTCTGTGACTCAGCTACACTAACCACAGTTCAACTTAAACACTGAAATTGCTTTTACATTGCTTATCCAGGTTGGGGGAGAGGATGGAACAGGAGGGTGCAGAGGTTTGGGGACCATGGAGAATGATGAGAAAGCTCAGTGGCTGGGTCCGACAGTTTCTTTAGAAAATGTAATTCAATCTACTTCTCCTTGGCTTTGTATTTGCAACTATTTGAAGTTATGTAAATATTTTCATCTGTTTAACATCTTAGCTTTTCTTTCCCATGCTCATGTCCTCATAACGAATACATTGTTATCAAAAGAAATTTATATTAAAAAAGAATGAATTTCCTGCTACTAATTCCTCTGGAGTATATACCTAGAGTTACCCAAGTGGGAAGCAGTCAATTCAAATTAACTGCCACTTGGAGTCCCTGACCCTCAGAAACCACTGCTTGTTTATTCCCTTCCATTGTGTCTTGTTGCTTATGGCACGCCTCTTCTAAGAGTAGTCATACATGTTGTGCTTTAGTTTCAGCTGCCCTGAGGGATTATTTGCATTTTGGAATCTTTAGTTTCAGTCAGACCATAATAAACATAACGTCAAATTTTGTTAAAATTAGTCCTGAACTTTTCACATGATGTGATAATAAAAAATAGAATACACTCTACACAATATGCATTCTACAATGGAGTTAAAGGCACATATAGGCTGGGTGCAGTGGTAATGCCTATAATCCCAGAGCTTTGGGAGGCTGAGGTGGGTTGATCGTTTGAGCTCAGGAGTTCAAGACCAGCCTGGGCAACACGGTGAAACTCCATCTCTACCAAAAATACAAAAAATTAGCTGGGTGTGGTGGTGGGCACCTGTGGTCCCAGCTACTTGTGAAGCTGAGGTGGAAGGATGGCTTGAGCCAGGGTGGCGGAGGTTGCAGTGAGCCAAGAATGTGCCACTGCACTCCAGCCTGGGTGACAGAGCGAGACCCTGTCTCAAAAAAACAAACAAAAACAAAAGGTGCACATACGATAGGAGAAAATAAGGTAGACAAGCCTTTATCAGCAAACTTAAATGCTGTGCTGTTTATCACAAACTGGAAATATTTTACTTATGTTACATTATTTTATTCATTTTACATTATTTATTCCTTGGCACAACCCTATGAGAAAGATATTCTTATTATTCCCATTTTATACACAAGGAAACTGAAACTTAGATTAGTAATTAGATCAAGGCCACACAGATAAGAGAGGCTAAGAATTATACTCAGCTCTAATAGCCTTCAGAGTTGAGGCCTGTAAGCATTGCATATGGTACAACCTTGGAGGTACTGAAGATCAAATTAAGAGAGAAAAAACAAAAATGAGAGAATATGGAACAATTAGTAAATAATTATATCACATTGCATAAAACAGTTACATGGTAATAACTAGACTTTTCAGCTCATAATCCAGACTATTATTTTTAAAAATTATATATACAGGGGGAGTAGGACACATCTAATAACACTTTTAAGAAAAGAAAATCCTTGTAACCTCAAAATGGGGGTTTTCTCTGTAACTGAAGAATTAAAAGTTACCTACAGGCTAATAATAAATTTTAAATGCTATTTATGAGTTTACTCCCCTATATTCATTGACCCTTACTCTCTATCTCCCCCAGGGGATTTTCTTTCTCCTCTTAGCCTCACCTCTTTAGGTACCGCCCATCACTGAGATCTTAGCACTTGATCTCTTTTAATTCTTCAGAGTTCGTTCATTCAGCTCTCATTACTATGCAGAGAAATCCTACGGTAGACCCAATGTGAATGACTTCAAGAGAGATAAGAGTTCCTTCTTTATTAAACAAGATGTTGAGGTTACTACCCTTTCTACGTTTCTTAGTTTTTTCTCTTTTCTTTTATTTTTCATCTTAAACTAACCCTGGATAAACTCGTTGAACTTTGCCATTCTAAAATCCAGAGATTATATAATCTAGAGAAGGTTATCTGGAGAGAATCCAGGTCCAATACAAGAGTCCATACCCTTATGCCTTCAGACAGCATCTGGCAATTGCCCAGTCCACTTTTCTTGATTCCATTCAGTCAGTTCTGGAACTAGACTTTGAATGCCTTTCCTTGACCATTCTTCAAGTTGCCATCTCAGACTACTGCAAGGCCATCAGGCTCTCTGTCACTTATCTTTCCCCTGACTCTACCAGCTTAGTTTCCTCTGTACTCTTGTGTTCTTTGCTTAGTTACATTTTAAGTCAAGGAATCATGCTCTATTTTACTTCTGTTCAGAATCTAACACTATGTTGCAGAGAGTTGCACCTGGATTCTATCTAATGAGACCCTCCAAGGGAACTGCAGTTCTAACTTTAGAGAGAACTACTTGTTTTCAATTTTGATTATCAACTTTATAGCTTTGTATGGATTTAGCCACTGAAGGGGAAAAGAGAGATACTTTGAAGCAATGGTCCTATTTTTACAAAAGACATTATTTTATAATTTTCAGGGTAGGCAAAGTTACTCAAATAAAGTTAAGAACTAAAGAGTATACACCAAGTGTCCTGCTTCTTTTTTACTTTTAGGCAAATATCCCAATTGTTAGTTTTTATTCATTCTGACATCATATCTGGAGAATAAGTTTTTATTTGTGCATACTGAACATGACGTAGTGACATATGATTAAAGCAAGTTTTTATACATAGAACTGCAAAATTTGCAGCAAAAATAAGGCATCAGGCTTTGCTACTTTAAATATATATCCACTTAAAACTACTATTTTAGGAAAGACGATTAAAGTAAGGAACAATCAAAAGTGAAAAGATAGCAGCACCTCCCTTTGAAGTGGAAAAAGTCCCTTGGTCTAACTAGGGAATGCTGACTTGGAAAAATTGGTAGTTTGACACCGTGGAAGAAATAAAATTGTCATGAACAAAGGTGAAGAGGGATTATATTTGTCAAGAAGAGACTCCTTCTGGATGAACTATCTGAGGGCTGTGGCATGTCACATCTTGTCTTGGAAAGTTAATGACTGGTAATGTTGGAGGAATAGGTCTTTTGTCAGATCATTATAGCAGCCTAGTTACAACTGCCTTAAGATGTAATGACTGGTTCAGATAAGGGGCCAAAATACTTCAGGTGAAACATGACTCTATCCAATCACCTTTTCCCTGATTAGCAGAGGGAAGCCAAGGCAGTCTTACCTAGAAGGCACTAAGGGTGAGCCCTAGGGCAAGAACACAGAAGCTGCTTTTGGTCCCCAGAAAATGAGGGCTGAAGAGTTTGCTTGGCTCCTGACACTGTGCACGTAGTCAGCAATGCTTTGCTCAGCCTTGCTCTAGTATGAACAGAGCTGGTTTTGGAATTTACTCTTCTTATTTTAAGCATCCTGGAAGAATGGAAAGCAAAAATTAACCTAGAAAATTGAATGAGGCTGGATGAAAGGTGTTCTTGTATTAAATGAAATATTTTATTGCTCTTTACAAAAAAGGATGAGATCCCATGCAGTTTAGGTACATATCAGGAAGTCAGTAGGAAAACTGTCCCTTTCCAGGCATGCTAGGGATCAAATTTAATGCCTGGGTACAGTGAAAGACATTGGTTTTTCCTCACCTATTACTGCATCCCAGTTTTGATGTGTGTTTAGATCTCATCTAATGTGAAAAATGAGAGGACAAGAAAGGCTCCTATTGAAGAAAAACACCAAGAAGCATTATTAGGATGACAAATACTCTTTTAAACTTCACCTTAACTGTTAATTTTAAAGATAATTTTCTCTTGTTTAAAAAAAAAAATCATGCCAGGTGCAGTGGCTTGTGTCTATAATCCCAGCACTTTGGGAGGCCGAGGATCACTTGAGCCCAGTTGAGACCAGCCTGGGCAACATGGTGAAACCCCATCTCTACTAAAAATACAAAAATTGGCCAGGCATGGTGGTGCATGCCTGTAGTTCTAGCTACTTGGGAGGCTGAGGAGGGAGGATGGCTTGAGCCCAGGAGGTGGAGTTTGCAGTGAGCTGAGGTCATGCCATTGCACTCCAGCTTAGGCAACAAAGTGAGACAGACTCCATCACAGGAAAAAAAAAAAAAAAGAAAAAAAAAGAAAAACATTAGCCAGGTGTGGTGATGTGTGCCTATAGTCCCAGCTACTCAGGAGGCTGAGGTTGGAGGACGTTTGAACCCAGGAGGTCAAGACTGCAGTGAGCTCAGATCATGCTGCTGCACTCCAGCCTGGGTGACAAAGTGAGACCCCGTCTCAGAAAAACAAACAAACAAACAAACAAAAAGGTACACACTTAACATGCTGCTTATTACTACCCCAAGTGATCTATGGATTTAATATCAAAATGCCAATGATGTTCTTCATAGGATTAGAAGAAATTCTTTTTCTTTTTTTTCTTTCTTCCTTCTTCTCCTTCTATTCCTCCTCCTCCTCCTTCTTCTTCTTTTTGTAGAGACAGGGTCTCACTATGTTGCTCAAGCTGGTATTGAATTCCAGGGCTCAACTGATCCTCCCACGCTGGCCTCCTAAAGTGCTGGGATTGATTACAGGTGTGAGCCGCTAGGCCTGGCTGAACAAATAAGCCTTAAAATTTGTATGGAACCACAAAAGACCCTGAAGAGCCAAAGCAATCCTGAGCAAAAAGAATAAAAATATACTACAAAGCTGTAGTAGCAAAACAGCATGGTACTGGCATAAAAACAGACACATAGACCAATGTAACAGAATAGAGAACCCAGATATTAATCCTCACATTTACAGCCAATTGATTTTTGACAAAGACACCAAGAACATACATTAGGGAAAGGATAGTCTCTATAATAAATGGTGCTGGGGAAACTGGATGTCCATATGCAGAAGAATGAAACTAAACCCCCACCTCTCACTCTATTAAAAAAATCAATTCAAAATGGACCCAAGACCTAAATGTAAGATCCAAAACTATAAACTACTAGAAAAAAAAAAAGGAAACACTTTAGGACGTTGGTGTGGGAAAAGATTTTGTGAATAAGACCTCAAAAACATAGGCCATGAAAGCAAAAATAAACAAATGGGGTTATATCAAACCAAAGAGCTTCTGCACAGCCAAGGAAGCAATCAACAGATTGAAAAGATAACCTACAGAATGAGAGAAAATATTTGCAAACTATTCATCTGACAGGGGATTAATATCCAGGATATACAATGAACTCAAATATCTCAACCGTAGGAAGCAATCTCATTGTAAAATGGGTAGGTGATCTGAACAGACGTTTCTCACTTGATCTCAGGCAAAAGGCCTACAAGCTATGAACAAACATTTTTCAAAAGAAGACATACAAATCTCCAATAAATGTATGAAAAAAACCTCAACATCATTAATCACTAGGGAAATGCAAATCAAAACGACAATGAGGTATTATCTCATCCCAGTAAGGATGGTGATTATCAAAAAGGTGAAAAATAGCAAATGCTGATGAAGATGTGGAGAAAAGGAAACTCTTATACACTGCTTATGGGAATGTAAACTAGTACAGCTACTATGGGAACGGTATGTAGATTCCTAAAAACACTCCAAATAGAACTGCCATTTGATCTAGCATTCCCACTACTGGGCACCTACCCAAAGGAAAGGGAATTGGTATATCAAAGAGACATCTGCACCCTCATGTTTATTGCAACACTATTTGCAATAACCAAAACATAAAATCAACCTAGGTGTCCAACAACAGGTGAATGCATAAAGAAAATATGTTATATAAACACAATAGAATACTATTCTACCATAAAAAAAGAATGAAATACTGTTATTTGCGGCAATATGGATGAACGAAAGGACATTATGTTACATGAAATAAGCCAGTAACAGAAAATTAAATAAACATCGCATGCTCTCATTCATTTGTGGAAGTGTAAAATAGTTGATTTTGGGTTGGTGCAAACCTAATAAAACAGGTTTTGCACCAACCTAATAGAACGGGGGCTGTTAGAGGCTGGGAAAGATGGGAAGGAGGAGATAGGGAGAGATTTATTAAAGGATACAAAATTACAGTTAGATAGGAGGAATAACTTCTAGTGTTCTATACTACTCCTGAACCCAAAATATCTGAGACAGGTCTCAGTCAATTTAGAAAGTTTATTTTGCCATGGTTAAGAATGTAGCCTCAGGAGATCCTGGTGACATGTGCCCAAGGTGGTAAGGTTACAGCATGCTTTTCTTTTTTTTCTTTGAGGTGGAATCTTGCTCTGTCTCCCAGGCTGGAGTGCAGTGGCGCGATCTCAGCTCACTGCAGCCTTCGCTTCCCAGGTTCAAGTGATTCTCCTGCCTCAGCCTCCTGAGTAGCTGGGTTTATAGGTGTGCACAACCACGCCCAGCTAATTTTTGTGTTTTTAGTAGAGACGGGGTTTCACTGTGTTGGCCAGGCTGGTCTCAAATTCCTGACCTCAGGTGATCCACCTGCCTCAGCCTCCTAAAGTGCTGGGATTACAGGGTGTGACCCACTACGCCTGGCCACAGCTTGCTTTTATATATATTTAGGGATACATAATACATTAATTAATACATGTAAGATTTACATTGGTTCAATATGGAAGAGCAGGACAACTGGAGGTAGCAAGGGGTGGGATGGGAGGGCTTCCAGGTCATAGATAGATTTAAACATATTTTTATTGGTTGAAAGAGCGATTATCACTAGAAAGGAATCTCTGGGTTAAGATAAGCTCCTGATTCGATCATGACTGAACTGTGTAACCCTTGCCAACCCCTCATTCAGGGCCCAAATCTTGTCTCTTGAATCTCTAATTCCTCATCACGTGGTAGATTTCCCAGAACCAAGATTCTTCCCCCTGTCCTAATGAAAAATGACCACACTGGAGATTTCCATTGCTGCAATTCACCTATCAACTGATTGAAGTCTCTTGAGGCAAGACATCACCTTGAGTTTGCTAAGCCCTATGATTCAAATGGTGCCACCGTCTTTGAGGCCAGTCCTTACAGCTAAGATTATTTCTGAGATCCTTCTGCCATTTCCGAGCTTTCTTTCTGACAGTTGTTGAGTTTCCTGCATGCCTCGCAAGTGAGCCTGCACAATATTTTGCAGAGGCACAGAATTAGTATTTATTTAGAGCTGTGTTTTGTAGGGGGATTTGGGTAAACTGAATCACTTCTCTGAGTCTCATTTTAAAATCTGTAACATGAGGAAGTTAAAGAGTCTCTGAGCCCTAAAGTTTAACATGTTAAAAATTATCCTAACCAATGATTTAAATATACTGACAAAGATCAAGATGAGCTCATCAATCTGCTTATCTCTTCAGAAAAAAATATTCCTCAGAAAAAATTAAAAACAAAATGAATCTCATAACTTTACTTAAATCAGAATAGGTACTATTGGCAGACTAGAATTTTAAGGAATCTATAAAAGCACAAAAGATAGAAGCCAGACAGGATCAGACTGATACTCGAAAAAGAATTCCTGCAAAGTTGAGAGTAGACTTGGAGTTTTTCATTCACTCATTCATTCATTCATTCACTCATTCATATATGTATTGATTTAGATATTAAGTAAAAAGTGCCTACTAGGTGCCAGGCACTGTTTTTAGCACTAAGGATAACATAGTGAACAAAACAGAGTCCCTACCTTCATGAAGATTTCAATCTTGTAAGGAAAACAGACAAGAAGCAAGCAAATAAACAATAAGTGATACATGCTTGATAATGATGATAAGTACTATGAAGAATAAAATAAAGCAGTGTAAGGAATTAGAGTGTAAAGTGGGGCCAGAGGATGCAATTTTGAATAGGTTTGTCAGCAAAAGCCTCTCTGAGGAGGTGACATTTGAACAAAGACCTGAAAGAAGTATGTGAGCATGCCAAGTGCTCATCTGAGGGAAGAACATTTCAGGCAGAGTGAACAGTAAGTATAAAGACCCTAATCCAGGAGTGTGTTTGGTGAATTGAGGACTGAGAAGGTCCCAGTGGCCAAAGCAGAGTGAACACCAAAGGCAGAGGGGACAGATCATTAAAGCCTTCTAGGAAGGCAGGGTAAGGACTTAGGAACGCAGGATTTTGTTCTAAATGCGATGACATGCCAAAAGAGAGTTTTAAGGCACAATTGGACTTGTAGGTTTTTTTTTTTTTGTTATAAGAGACAGGGTCTCGATGTGTTGCCCAGGCTAGAGTGCAGTGGATTATCTACAGGGGTGATCATAGTACACTACAGCCTCCAACTGTTGAGTTCAAACAATGCTCTTGCTTCAGCCTCCAGAGTAGCTGGGGTTACAGGGGTGTGCTACCACAATTTGCATTTTTTTAAAAAAGGATAACTCTTGCTTTTATGTGGCAAATAACATGAGGGAGGGGGTACAGAAGGAAAGAACTGAAGTAGGCAAGCCAGTCAGAGGTTACAGGGAAGGGCCAAGCAGAGATGGTGATGATTTGTTCTAGGGCAGTAGCCGCAGAGGTTATGTGGAAAAAAAAAAAAAAAATCAGAAATACCTACAACTAATTCTAAACAATGATTTGAACTGGAAATAAAATAAATAAAGTAAATTCCAGATTATTATCACCTGGAATGATACAATATGGCAGTAGTAGGAGAAAGAGGACCAATGGGAGTGAAATTGATCAAGGGCAAGACACAGATGCTGCTTATTTATAGGAGTTGAAGAATAATACATGTAAAATGGTGGTTAAAATTGAAATATTTGTGAGCAGAAGAAAAATCAGAGGTATAATTTCTATGCTACTGAAATAAAGAAGAAAGCAACTTAATTTCACAAATGGCAAAAAAGAAAAAAGTTGTAAATTGTATAAAATGTCAGGAATAAATAAAATCACAATCAATATAAATAAATTAAATCCTTCTAATGAAATAAAGCCCATATATAATTGGGCTTTAAAAATCCAGCTATAGGGTGGAGCCAAGATGGCCGAATAGGAACAGCTCCAGTCTACAACTCCCAGTGTGAGCAATGCAGAAGACGGGTGATTTTGGCATTTCCAACTGAGGTACAGGGTTCATCTCACTAGGGAGTGCTGGACAGTGGGTGCAGGACAGTGGGTGCAGTGCACCATGCATGAGCTGAAGCAGGGTGAGGCATTGCCTCACCCGGGAAGTGCAATGGGTCAGGGAATTCTCTTTCCTAGTCAAACAAAGGGGTGACAGATGGCACCTGGAAAATTGGGTCACTCCCACCCTAATACTGCGCTTTTCCAACAGGCTTAACAAACGGCACACCAGATTATATCACACACCGGGCTCGGAGGGTCCTATGCCCCTGGAGCCTCTCTCATTGCTAGCACAGCAGTCTGAGATCAAACTGCAAGGCGGCAGTGAGCCTGGGGGAGGGGCGCCCACCATTGCCAAGGCTTGAGTAGGTAAACAAAGCGGCCGGGAAGCTCGAACTGGGTGGAGCCCACCACAGCTCAAGGAGGCCTGCCTGCCTCTGTAGGCTTCACCTCTGGGGGCAGGGCACAGACAAACAGAAGGCGGCAGTAACCTCTGCAGACTTAAATGTCCCTGTCTGACAGCTTTGAAGAGAGTAGTGGTTCTCCCTGCACGCAGCTTGAGATCTGAGAACGGGCAGACTGTCTCCTCAAGTGGGTACCTGACCCCCGAGTAGCCTAATTGGGAGGCACCCCCCAGTAGGGGCGGACTGACACCTCACACACCCAGGTACTCCTCTGAGACAAAACTTCCAGAGGAACGATCAGGCAGCAGCATTTGCGGTTCACTAATATCCGCTGATCTGCAGCCACCGCTGCTGATACCCAGGCAAACAGGGTCTGGAGTGGACCTCCAGAAAACTCCAACAAACCTGCAGCTGAGGGTCCTAACTGTTAGAAGGAAAACTAACAAACAGAAAGGACATCCACACCAAAAACCCATCTGTACGTCACCATCATCAAAGACCAAAGGTAGATAAAACCACAAAGATGGGGAAAAAACAGAGCAGAAATACCAGAAACTCTAAAAATCAGAGTGCCTCTCCTCCTCCAAAGGAATGCAGCTCCTCACCAGCAACGGAACAAAGCTGGATGGAGAATGACTTTGACGATTTGAGAGAAGAAGGCTTCAGAAGATCAAACTACTCCAAGCTAAAGGAGGAAGTTCAAACCAATGGCAAAGAAGTTAAAAACCTTGAAAAAAAATTAGATGAATGGATAACTAGAATAATCAATGCAGACAAGTCCTTAAAGGACCTGATGGACCTGAAAACCACGCCAGGAGAACTACGTGACGAATGCATAAGCCTCAGTAGCCGATGCAATCAACTGGAAGAAAGAGTATCAGTGAAGGAAGACGAAATGAATGAAATGAAGCAAGAAGAGAAGTTTAGAGAAAAAACAATAAAAAGAAATGAACAAAGCCTCCAAGAAATATGGGACTATGTGAAAAGACCACATCTACGTCTGATTGGTGTACCTGAAAGTGATGGGGAGAATGGAACCAAGTTGGAAAACCCTCTGCAGGATATTATTCGGGAGAACTTCCCCAATCTAGCAAGGCAGGCCAACATTCAAATTCAGGAAATACAGAGAACGCCACAAAGATACTCCTCGAGAAGAGCAACCCCAAGACACATAATTGTCAGATTCAACAAAGTTGAAATGAAGGAAAAAATGTTAAGGGCAGCCAGAGAGAAAGCTCGGGTTACCCACAAAGGGAAGCCCATCAGACTAACAGCTGATCTCTCGGCAGAAACTCTACAAGCCAGAAGAGAGTGGGGGCCAATATTCAACATTCTTAAAGAAATGAATTTTTGACCCAGAATCTCAAATCCAGCCAAACTAAGCTTCATTAGTGAAGGAGAAATAAAATCCTTTACAGACAAGCAAATGCTGAGAGATTTTGTCACCACCAGGCCTGCCCTACAAGAGCTCCTGAAGGAAGCACTAAATGTGGAAAGGAACAACCGGTACCAGCCACTGAAGAAACACACCAAATTGTAAAGACCATCAAGGCTAGGAAGAAACTGCAACAACTAACGAGCAAAATAACCAGCTAACATCATAATGACAGGATCAAATTCACACATAACAATATTAACCTTAAATGTAAATGGGCTAACTGCTCCAATTAAAAGACACAGACTGGCAAATTGGATAAAGAGTCAAGACCCATCAGTTTGCTGTATTCAGGAAACCCATCTCACGTGCAGAGACACACATAGGCTCAAAATAAAGGGATGGAGGAAGATCTACCAAGCAAATGGAAAACAAAAAAAGGCAGGAGTTGCAATCCTAGTCTCTGATAAAAGAGACTTTAAACCAACAAAGATCAAAAGAGACAAAGAAGGCCATTACATAATGGTAAAGGGATCAATTCAACAAGAAGAGCTAACTATCCTAAATATATATGCACCCAATACAGGAGCACCCAGATTCATAAAGCAAGTCCTCAGTGACCTACAAAGAGACTTAGACTCCCACACAATAATAATGGTAGACTTTAACACCCCACTGTCAACATTAGACAGATCAACGAGACAGAAAGTTAAAAAGGATATCCAGGAATTGAACTCAGCTCTGCACCAAGCGGACCTAATAGACATCTACAGAACTCCCTACCCAAAATCAACAGAATATACATTCTTTTCTGCACCACACCACACCTATTCCAAAATTGACCACATAGTTGGAAGTAAAGCTCTCCTCAGCAAATGTAAAAGAAGAGAAATTATAACAAACTGTCTCTCAGACCACAGTGCAATCAAACTAGAACTCAGAATTAAGAAACTCACTCAAAACTGCTCAACTACATGGAAACTGAACAACCTGCTCCTGAATGACTACTGGGTAAATAACGAAATGAAGGCAGAAATAAAGATGTTCTTTGAAACCAGTGAGAACAAAGACACAACATACCAGAATCTCTGGGACACATTCAAAGCAGTGTGTAGAGGGAAATTTACAGCACTAAATGCCCACAAGAGAAGGCAGGAAAGATCTAAAATTGACACCCTAACATCACAATTAAAAGAACTAGAGAAGCAAGAGCAAACACATTCAAAAGCTAGCAGAAGGCAAGAAATAACTAAGATCATAGCAGAACTGAAGGAAATAGAGACACAAAAAACCCTTCGAAAAATCAATGAATCCAGGAGCTGGTTTTTTTAAAAGATCAACAAAATTGATAGACTGCTAGCAAGACTAATAAGGAAGAAAAGAGAGAAGAATCAAATAGACGCAATAAAAAATGACAAAGGGGATATCACCAACGATGTCACAGAAATACAAACTACCATCAGAAAATACTATAAACTCCTCTACGCAAATAAACTAGAAAATCTAGAAGAAATGGATAAATTCCTCAACATATATACCCTCCCAAGACTAAACCAGGAAGAAGTTGAATCTCTGAATAGACCAATAACAGGCTCTGAAATTGAGGCAATAATTAATAGCTTACCAACGAAAAAATGTCCAGGACCAGATGGATTCACAGTCGAATTCTACCAGAGGTACAAGGAGGAGCTGGTACCATTCCTTCTGAAACTATTCCAATCAATAGAAAAAGAGGGAATCCTCCCTAATTCATTTTATGAGGCCAGCATCATCCTGATACCAAAGCCTGGGAGAGACACAACAAAAAGAGAATTTTAGACCAATATCCTTGATGAACATTGATTTAGGATTGTCTTGGCAACATGGGCTCTTTTTTTGGTTCCATACGAACTTGAAAGTAGTTTTTTCCAATTCTGTGAAGAAAGTCATTGGTAACTTGATGGGGATGGCATTGAATCTATAAATTACTTTGGGCAGTTTGGCCATTTTCATGATATTGATTCTTCCTATCCATGAGCACGGAATATTCTTCTATTTGTTTGTGTCCTCTTTTATTTCGTTGGGGAGTGGTTTGTAGTTCTCCTTGAAGAGGTCCTTCACATCCCTTGTAAGTTGGATTCCTAGGTATTTTATTCTCTTTGTAGCAATTGTGAATGGGAGTTCACTCATGATTTGGCTCTGTTTGTCTGTTAATGGTGTACAGGAATGCTTGTGATTTTTGCACATTGATTTTGTATCCTGAGATTTTGCTGAAGTTGCTTATTAGCTTAAGGAGATTTTGGGCTGAGACGACGGGGTTTTCAAAATACACAATCATGTCATCTGCAAACAGGGACAATTTGACTTTCTTATTTCCTAGTTGAATACCCTTTATTTATTTTACCTGATTGCCCTGGCCAGAACTTCCAACACTACGTTGAACAGGAGTGGTAAGAGAGGACACCCTTGTCTTGTGCTGGTTTTCAAAGGGAATGCTTCCAGTTTTTGCCCATTCAGTATGATATTGGCTGTGGGTTTGTCACAAATAGCTCTTATTATTTTGAGATACATGCCATCAAAACCTAGTTTATTGAGAGTTTTTAGTATGACGGGCTGTTGAATTTTGTCAAAGGCCTTTTCTGCATCTATTGAGATAATCATGTGGTTTTTGTCATTGGTTCTGTGTATGTGATGGATTACATTTATTGATTTGCATATGTTGAACCAGTCTTGCATCCCAGTCATGAAGCCGACTTGATCGTGATG
Organism: Homo sapiens; assembly: GCF_000001405.40. Lineage (NCBI taxonomy): Eukaryota > Metazoa > Chordata > Mammalia > Primates > Hominidae > Homo > Homo sapiens. The sequence continues at coordinate 88,309,527 of NC_000005.10, read as the reverse complement.
GATAAGCTTTTTGATGTGCTGCTGGATTCAGTTTGCCAATATTTTATTGAGAATTTTTGCATCGATGTTCATCAGGGATATTGGTCAAAAATTCTCTTTTTTTGTTGTTTCTCTGCCAGGCTTTGGTATTAGAATGATGTTGGTGTCATAAAATGAGCTAGGGAGGATTCCCTTTTTTACTGTTGATTGGAATAGCTGCAGAAGTAATGGTACCAGATCCTCTTTGTACCTCGGGTAGAATTCAGTTGTGAATCCGTCTGGTCCTGGACTTCTTTTGGTTGGTAGGCTATTAATTGTTGCCTCAATTTCAGAGCCTGTTATTGGTCTATTCAGAGATTGAACTTCTTCCTGGTTTAGTCTTGGGAGAGTGTATGTGTCCAGGAATTTATCCATTTCTTCTAGGTTTTCTAGTTTATTTTCGTAGAGGTGTTTATAGTATTCTCTGATGGTAGTTTTCATTTCTGTGGGATCAGTGGTGATATCCCCTTTATCATTTTTTATTGCATCTATTTGATTCTTCTCTCTTTTCTTCTTTACCAGTCTTGCTAGTGGTCTCTATCAATTTTGTTGATCTTTTCAAAAAAACAGCTCCTGGATTCATTAATTTTTTGAAGGGTTTTTTGTGTCTCTATCTCTTTCAGTTCTGCTCTGATTTTAGTTATTTCTTGCCTTCTGCTAGCTTTTGAATTTGTTTGCTCTTCCTTCTCTAGTTTTTTTAATTGACATGTTAGTGTGTCGATTTTAGATCTTTCCTGCTTTCTCTTGTGGGCATTTAGTGCTATAAATTTCCCTCTACACACTGCTTTAAATGTGTCCCAGAGATTCTGGTATGTTGTGTCTTTGTTCTCATTGGTTTCCAAGTACATCTTTATATCTGCCTTCATTTCGTTATTTACCCAGTAGTCATTCAGGAGCAAGTTGTTCAGTTTCCATGTAGTTGTGTGGTTTTGAGTGTGTTTCTTAATCCGGAGTTCTAATTTGATTGCACTGTCGTCTGACAGTTTGTTGTGATTTCTGTTCTTTTACATTTGTTGAGGAGTGCTTTACTTCCAATTATGTGGTCAATTTTAGGATAAGTGCAATGTGGTGCTGAGAAGAATGTAAATTCTGTTGATTTGGGATGGAGAGTTCTGTAGATGTCTATTAGGTCCACTTGTTGCAGAGCTGAGTTCAAGTCCTGGATATCCTTGTTAACCTTCTGTCTCATTGATCTGTCTAATATTGACAGGGGGATGTTAAAGCCTCCCATTACTATTGTATGAGAGTCTAGGTCTCTTTGTACGTCTCTAAGGACTTGTTTTATGAAGGTGGGTGCTCCTGTATTGGGTGCCTATATATTTAGGATAGTTAGCTCTTCTTGTTGAATTGTCCCTTTACCATTATGTAATGGCCTTCTTTGTCACTTTTGATCTTTGTTGGTTGAAAGTCTGTTTTATCAGAGACTAGAATTGCAACCTCTGCTTTTTTTTTCTTTCCATTTGCTTGGTAGATCTTCCTCTGTCCCTTTATTTTGAGCCTATGTGTGTTTTCCAACATGAGATGGGTCTCCTGAATACAGCACACTGATGGGTCTTGACTCTTTATCCAATTTGCCAGTCTGTGTCTTCTAATTGGGTCATTTAGCCCATTTACATTTAAGGTTAATATTGTTATGTGTGAATTTGATCCTGTCATTATGATGTTCACTGGTTATTTTGCCCATTAATTGATGCAGTTTCTTCATAGCATCGATGGTCTTTACAAATTGGCATGTTTTTGCAGTGGCTGGTACCGGTTGTTCCTTTCCATGTTTAGTGCCTTCCTTCACGAGCTCTTGTAGGGCAGGCCTGGTGGTGACAAAATCTCTCAGCATTTGCTTGTCTGTAAAGGATTTTATTTCTCCTTCACTAATGAAGCTTAGTTTGGCTGGATATGAAATCTGGGTTGAAAATTATTTTCTTTAAGAATGTTGAATATTGGCCCCACTCTTCTGGCTTGTAGGGTTTCTGCCAAGAGATCTGCTGTTAGTCTGATGGGCTTCCCTTTGTGGGTAACTCAACCTTTCTCTCTGGCTGCCCTTAACATTTTTTCCTTCATTTCAACCTTGGTGAATCTGACAATTATGTGTCTCAGAATTGCTCTTCTCAAGGAGTATCTTTGTGGTGTTCTCTGTATTTCCTGAGTTTGAATGTTGGCCTGCCTTGCAAGGTTGGGGAAGTTCTCCTGGATAATATCCTGCAGAGGGTTTTCCAACTTTGTTCCATTCTCCCTGTCACTTTCAGGTACACCAATGAAATGTAGATTTGGTCTTTTCACATAGTCCCATATTTCTTGGAGGCTTTGTTTGTTTCTTTTTACTGTTTTTTCTCTAATCTTTTCTTCTCACTTTTTTTCATGAATTTGATCTTCAATCACTGATACCCTTTCTTCCACTTGATGAAATCAGCTATTGAAGCTTGTGCATGTATCACGAAGTTCTCATGCCATGGTTTTCAGCTCCATCAGGTCATTTAAGGTCTTCTCTACACTGTTTATTCTAGTTAGCCATTCATCTAATGTTTTTTCAAGGTTTTTAGCTTCCTTGTGATGGTTTCAAACATCCTCCTTTAGCTCAGAGTATGTTACTATCAACCTTCTGAAGCCTACTTCTGTCAACTTGTCAAAATCATTGTGTCCAGCTTTGTTCTGTTGGTGGCGAGGAGCTGTGATCCTTTGAAGGAGAAGACGTGCTCTGATTTTTAGAATTTTCAGCTTTTCTGCTCTGGTTTCTCCCCATCTTTGTGGTTTTATCTACCTTTGGTCTTTGATGTTGGTGACCTACAGATGGAGTTTTGGTGTAGATGACCTTTTTGTTGATGTTGATGCTATTCCTTTCTGTTTGTTAGTTTTCGTTCTAACAGTCAGGTCCCTCAGCAGCAGGTCTGCTGGAGTTTGTTGGAGTTCCACTCCAGACCCTGTTTGCCTGGTTATCACCAGCGGAGGATGCAGAATAGTAAATACTGCAGAACAGCAAATATTGCTGCCTAATCCTTCCTCTGGAAGCTTCATCCCAGAAGGGCAGCCGCCTATATGAGGTAAGCCCCTACTGGGAGGTGTCTCCCAGTTAGGCTACACAGGGGTCAGGGATCCACTTGAGGAAGCAGTCTGTCGGTTCTCAGAGCTCAAACGCCGTGCTGGAAGAACCACTGCTCTCTTCAGGGCTGTCAGACAGGGATGTTTAAGCCTACAGAAGTTGTCTGCTGCCTTTTGTTCAGCTATGCCCTGCCCACAGAAGTGGAGTCTAGAGGCAGTAGGCCTTGCTGCGGTGGGCTCCAACCAGTTCGAGCTTCCCAGCCACTTTGTTTACCTACTCAAGCCTCAGCAATGGCAGGCACCCCTCCCCCGGCCAGGCTGCTACCTCAAAGATCGATCTCAGACTGCTGCGCTAGCAGTGAGCAAGACTCCATGGGCCTGGGACCCACTGAGCCAGGCACAGGAGAGAATCACCTTGTCTGCTGGTTGCTAAGACTTTGGGAAAAGTGCAGTATTTGGGCGGAGAGTGTCCCGTTTTTCCAGGTAGTCTGTCATGGCTTCCCTTGGCTAGGAAAGAGAAATTCCCGACCCCTTGCACTTCCCAGGTGAGGTGATGCCCTGTCCTGCTTCAGCTCACTCTCCGTGGGCTGCACCCACTGTCCAACCAGTCCCAATGAGATGAACCAGATACCTCAGTTAGAAATGCAGAAATCACTTGTCTTCTGCGTCAATCACGCTGGGAGCTGCAGACTAGAGCTGTTCCTATTTGGCCATCTTGGAATACCCCCTGGTAATGTTTTCTTAAATACAAAAAGCACTGACCATGAAAGAAGAGTTTGATCAAACAGACTTCATTAAAATTAAAAACTTCTGTTCATTGAAACATATCATTAAGAGAGTGAGCAATGATCTACAGATTAGGAGAAGAAAAATGTAAAACAACTATTGACATATGACTTGTACCCAAAATATATAAAACTTGACTACAAATCAGTAAGAGAAAGACAACTCAATGTTTTAAGAAATGAACAAAAGATTCAAGTAGGCCTTTCATAAATGTAGATATTTAAACAGACAACAAGCAAATTAAAAAGAATTCAATATCATTATTCATCAGGGAACTGACAATTAAAACCATACTCAGATTCCATTACATACTTTCAAAATCAGCACTACTACTTCTATACATTGTTGGTGGGGTTTAAATGGGTACAACCACTCTGTTCCTCCCATTTCTATATCCCCTATACCCATTAGCAAATTTTCATTCTGCCACAAAATTCCTTTGCTTAGCATAAGGTGATAGTTTTTTTTTTTCATATATAGCTTTTCCTTTCTAGTCCAACTGGCAAATACCAAGGACATAATAAAAACTAAACTTATAAATCTGTACCAGCCTCCTTCCTTGTCTATTCATCCCATCTTTACTTTCCTTGGTTCCTTACTACAAGACAAAGTGACCTGTGTTTCCTCACTTATCATGGAGAGACCCTTAATCTATTATGTCTAGTTTAACAGGTAAATGATTTGTATATTGATGAAAGAATTACTAGGAGAGAGTACACATGGAAAGCTCCCCCAAAACCAAAAACTTAAAAATTTTTTTTATTACTTTCAAGGGGCTTTGTATATACTAATCACTTTATAAATAGGAATGAATTTGGCATAATAATAATCAGACAAAAACTAAAGACCAGAATATTTAGGGAAGTGAAGTTGTTCTCACATTCTAGGTATGAAAAGATAATGACCCTCCAATCTTGTCTGAGTGTCCCTTCACTTTATCTCAGCAGAGGTAACATGTTTCCTTTCTTCTATTACAGACGTCCAGAACAGCAAATTAAAAAAAAATCCACTTCTTTTTCTCTTTTTCCTCATAGTCTTTACACATTGAAATCACTGTTTTCCATGGCCAGAGATTTCCTGCTAGCCTCTCTTCAAAAGCAGTCTGTGCTCTTCCAACCTTTCCTCTCCACAGCACCCCTACAGTCAAATCCGAACTTCAGGAGCCAGTGTTACCTCTCAGTCTTAGTGCTTTCAGGAAATTCACTTTCAGGAAAAGGATTTGATAGAGAATTCACTTTTTTCCACAGGTGACTGCTTTAAGGAATTATCTTTTAAAATCTTTTAAATTATGTTTTAAAATGAATTTCTGATGGTGGAATATTAAAGTCTGACAAACTAGTAGAGGGATGGTGGTTGGATTTTTAGGTTAGTAACCTTCCCTCTAACCTTCCCTCTGCCCCTTATAGCTACAACAGTAGATCTCTTTTCCAGTAAAGCTAGTTCTGTTTTCAACAGACTACAAAGTATAGCTATATGATCTGCCCTTAGTCTCATGTAACTTTGATCTATTTTCTTTCAGAGGTATCTCCTTCTCAAAAAGCCAGGAGGAACTGGCAAAGAGTTGAAAAGAGTTTTTTTTTTCACCCAGACTGAAATGACCTAAGTTGCAAGGACTGGGTGATCTCAGTTTCTTTGCAAAGTACAAAGTATTGTTTTGCGTGGTTGGTAGTAAACAAAGAACAGAATGCATCACTGGTAACACTTAACCAAAAACAACTCTTCAGTTTATGACCTATTGCCTAAATCAATGGCAGCTTACAATGGACATGTCTGTAAGTGGAGACCCTGAATATAATAAAATGCTAACATTCACGACTTCTGTAAAAAGCATTAGTAACTAAATAAATCCAACCATTGCTGCCTTTGCACTGAGCATGAAGAACATTTCTACTGTTTAATAAGAATGAATATCATCTCAATAGTTTCTAACATATAATATTCAAAAGTTATAAACCTATTGCTTTAGCATTTTAAAGTCAGGGCCTTAGTGTGGAAGGTCTATAGCCCAAAGAGAGCAATAGCATTTTATATGATGTTAATATTTTACCATTGTTTGAGGCTCAAATAAAGATTAATAAGGGAATCCCAAAAATTAATAGCCAAAGCAAAAACTTATGGAGAGATGGTGGACTCAACTCTTTGCGATGCATTACTAAAAGGTAGGTATAGAACTCTTTGAGGCTCTCCCTCATTAAATACAAAATCTGCTCCTTTGGTCTCTTTGTATAAATAGTAAATATCAAATAAATATCAGTGATGTGGGGCTAACATTAGCATCCCTATACCTAAGTCAAAATTGCACCACCTAATAATAATTATATGCTTCCATCCTCAATTTTTGTCTTTGACATAGCTTCTTGTTTCTTACACAGACAGTTGAAATTTGGCATCTACAAGTAAAGAATGAATTTACCCAAGGAACTGGTGGCCATGGCCTAAGGAACTAGTATGACAGATTGACTAAGGATGTTAATAATCATACTTGTAGCTATCATATATGCATAAAGTACTTGCTGTGTTAAGGACTGCTTTAAGTCTTTAATGTATACTAGCTCATTTAATCCTTTCAAAACTCTATAAGGTAATTATTATTCCCAATTTACAGAGAACAAATCGAAGGAAAAATGAGATAAAATCGTCCCTAACATTGCAGTTAGGAACTGCCAAAATTTGAAACTAGGCACTCTCACTCTGAAGCGACATTAGTAGCCACCTGAACTCATTAAATTAGTCAATCAGTTATTCATATATTCGTCAAATATTTATCAAATATGCACCACATTTTCAGCACCGTGGTAGACCCCAAGGCATACATGAGTGAGTGATATCAGATATGGTACCTACTTTCATAGAATGTACTAGCAGTCAACATGAACATTAATCAAATAGTTACACAAACAAATGTAAAATTGCAATGTTCCTGGCACACAAAGGAGGGATGTATGATGCTATGAGAATCAATCAGGGAGATTAGGGAAAGTTTTGCTGAGGGACTCACATATGCACTAGATATGAAAGATAGGCAGCCTTAAACTAGACAAAGAGGAAACAGAAGAGATTTCAAGGCAGAAGAAACACCATGTACAAATTCTCTGTGGTAAGTGGGAATAGAAAGAGTACTAGTAATTGAAAAAAGGCCAGTGTGAGGTGGGGTCACAGAGTGTAAGAGAAAGAAGAGTGCAAGACAAGGATGGAAAGGTTTTATAGGTCATGTTAACTTATGTCTTTGCCTTATTTTTTCAAGCACTGAAAGATTTTATATTATTTTATTATTTTTACTCTTAATTTTTTAGAGATAGAATCTCACTCTGTCACCCAGGTTGGAGTGTAGTGGCATGATCATGGCTCACTGCAGCTTCGAACTACTGGGCTCAAGCAATCCTTCCACCTCAACCTCCCTAGTAGCTAGGGCTGTGCCACCACCCTCAGCTAAATCTTTTATTTTTTAGAGATGAGATCAGTCACTGTGTTGCCCAGGCTGGTCTCAAATTCCTGGGCTCAGGTGATCCTCCTGCCTTAGCCTCCCAAAGTGCTGGGATTACAGGTGTGAGCCACCATGACCAGCCCGAGCACTGAAAGATTTTAAATGGGGGAAATTACATAAATAGCCTTGTATTTTTAAAAGCCTACTCTAACTTTAATGTTGATGATGGGATGGAAAAAGACCAATGAATATGCATAAATGAGTTAAAAGGTTATTGTAATAGACCAAGTGACAGATGACTGGACTGGAGTGAACAGGGTGATAAAGAGAAGTGGATTGAATCAAGCCATCATAGGCTTGATTTTTTTATCATAGAAAAATTAATATGGCTCTCTTGCAAAACGATCTAAGCAAGTTTGGTCACACACAACTATTTTGTTCTTTTTGACAGATAAAGGTAGTCACCAACTGTTGAGTGAAAGGGTTGGCTACTAAGTTACAATAAAGCAAGTCTTGGGCCAAATTCTGTTGTACACACAAACATTAAAAAACTATGGCTGAATGTGGTGGCTCATGCCTATAATCCCAGCACTTTGGGAGGCTGAGGTGGGCAGATCACTTGAGGCCAGGAGTTCAAGACCAGCCTGGCCAACATGACATAACCCTGTCTCTGAAAAAACACAAAAATTAGCTGGACGTCCTGGCACACGCCTGTAATTCCAGCTACTCAGGAGGATGAGGCAGAGAATCGCTTGAACCTGCGAGGCGGAGGCTGCCGTGAGCCAAGATCATGCCACTGCACTCCAGCCTGGGAGACAGAGTGAGACTCCATCTCAAAAAATTAAAATAAACAGTTATTGACAGGGAGTCATACACACAACAATTCATATAATCTCTTCAATAAACTCAATTAACATCCAATTCTCTCTTTCATGTATTAGTTATCCATGATGCACAACAATTTACCCCAAAATTTAGTGACTTGAAACAACAATAAATATTTATTATATCAGAGTTTCTGTAGGTCAGGGATTTGAGAGTAGGTTGGCTGGATAGTTTTGGTTCAGGGTCTCTCATGAATCAAGATGTTGGCCAGGGCTGTTGTTACCTAAGGCTTAACTGGGACTGGATGGTCTGCTTCCAAGATGGCTCACTCACATTACTGACGAATTAATCTTCACGTTTCCAGAATATCTTATTGGTTACACAGACCAGCTCTATTTGATATGGGAAGAGACTATAAAAAGAGATGAACACTAAGGATCATTGGTGTCAGGTCATTGACGGCCAACTTGGAGGCTGGCTATCATATATGACTACCACATGTATGAAAGTTCATTTAAGGCAAACGCGGCAATATTGAGGCAGGATTTAGGCAACCAGAATCCATGGAATCAATAGCTAGATAAGGGACATTTTAGAAATCAAACCTTGGATGCCATTCCTAAGGATAAAGATTATGATGCTTACTAGATTTTTACAACCCATTTTGCAAAGGCAGAATGTCTAAAATATATTAGCCAATGCACACACTTTGAACAACACTAATTTCACCAGTGAAAACACATTGCCACATTGCTTATATTCAATATACTAATTAGAAAAATTATAGCGTTGTTCAAGATAAGTACGACTTGAGCACTTGACATAGCTTCCTCTGGAGTGCGGCCTTTTGATTAAATACTTTCTGACCATACATGGGAATGTGACTTCTTAATTATGGCAAACAAGTGCACTTATAGCCTAAATTAACACACATAATATCACACACACACATATATCCACACAGTATCATATTATCTGTGATCATTTATTTGAAAGTAAATTACAGACATCATAATACCATCCATTATTTAGAAGATGCAACCCATGAGCAAAAGTAACTATCTTGGCCAATGACTATCACCAAATGGGGCTGTTCATGATGGATAAAATAACATACAATGGAAATTACTGAATGGTCATTAGTAAAGCATTCTGGATTGGAATGTGTTACAGAAAAAGCACTTATATTGATTTTTATTTTTGAGGACAAAGAATTTAAGATTATATTATAGGGTTAACATGAGAATTACACAAGTTAATATATTATTTCGAAGCACTTAGGACAAGTGCCTGGCACATACTAAAGTTATCAGTGTAAATGTGATGATGATGACAATGATGATGGTGGTGGTGGTGGTGTTGGTGATCATCTAACAACTTCAGATAGATACATGTCCCTTTATGATTATCAGTTGTATTGAACACAGCTATACTACCCAGATTCCTTTTCAGGGCTGAAAGAATTCTTTGCTCAGCTTCTGGGAATGACGTTGGCTGACAGCTCTCAAAATATCAGCTCCATACAGGAATTGCTCTCAGCCTTACTCAAGGTCACACTCATCTCCAGGAGTCAGCCATTAGATAAATGAGTGGCCATTGATGTACATACAGAGGTTCAACCCCCTGCCTTCATTTGGGATGCCTCTAAAGTGCCACTCTAGCTTTAGAGCCATCCTAGGGTCAGCTTAGGCTTTATTGTAAGTACATCACAGTGAACTTCTCCCTCTACTCAATCCTGCATTTCACCAGTGTTGATTCTAAGAGCATTCTCGAATAAATATTCCTGCATGCAAATCTCCTTCTCAGGGTCTGTTTTCCAGGGAACATGATCAAGCACATCAACGTTATTTAGTAAATTAGAAGGCTGTATAGCTGGGCATGATGGCTCATGCTGTAATCCCAGTAGTTTTGGAGGCTGAGGCAAAAGAATCGCTTGAGGCCAGAAGTTCGAGACCAGCCTGGGAAACATAGTGAAAGCTTGTCTCTACAAAATATTTTTTAAAATAATATTTTTAAAAATATTTAAAAAGAAGACTGCATACACAAATGTACCTGGCCCAGCGCAGTGGCTCACGCCTGTAATCCCAGCACTTTGGGAGGCTGAGATGGATGAATCACCTGAGGTCAGGAGTTCGAGACCAGCCTGGCCAACATGGTGAAACCCCATCTCTACTAAAAATACAAAAATTAGCCAGGCGTGATGGTGCGTGCCTGTAATCCCAGCTACTTGGGAGGCTGAGATGGGAGAATCGCTTGAACACAGGAGGTGGAGGTTTCAGTGAGCTGAGATCGTGGCATTGTGCTCCAGCCTGGTTGACAAGAATGAAACTCCATCTCAAAACAACAACAACAAAACAACAACAATAACAACAACAACAACAACAAAAATGTACCCTTTCTATTGTTTGGTAATGATTAACACAGGGTATAAGTATGAGATAAAGTTATATATGTAATTAAAAGTATTGTTCATTTAGATTAGAAATTTGACATCTTAAGTTGGTACTAGAGACTAATAGAACAAATTATTAATTGAAATGTTTATCATATTAAATACTTCCTTACTGGAAAATTTGAAAATGTATATACAACTGTTCATCTAATGTATGGGAGCACAAAAGGCCATGAAAACTTTTAACACAACAAACCAAGTTAGGTACAGATTCTGTTTGTCAGGATAGGCTAGGGAATAATGCTGATAGTTATAAACTAAACAAAAATCTGAGAGTCCTATCACATGACAGTTTCTTACTCAGGCAAATCTGCCAAGAGTGCAGGAGTTTCTCCATGTCAGCCCTTCACATAGTGACTCAACATTCCAGATTGCTCCCTTTTCCTGGTGTCTCCATTTCAATGTGATATCTCAGGGCTCTTTGTTCCAGAAAAGACAGTATGGATGGGCAAATCATACACTGACTCTTACATGCTTTGGCATGGAAGTGATACATATCACCTTTGGTCACTGTCCATTGGTAGATATAGTCACATGGCCCTGCTCAACTTGCAGAACTAAGAAATGTAGAATTTTACATATCCAGAAAAGACAGGAAGACTGAAAATATTGGCAAATATTGGTAATCTCATTGACAGAAGTTATACTTCCCAAAGAAAGCTAATATTTTAGTATCCATAAGGATTATCTTATTAAAAATCCACTTTTTATGTTGTTTTTGAGATAGGGTCTCACTCTGTCACCCAAACTGGAGTGCAGCAGTATGATCACAGATCACTACAACCTCGACCTCCTGAGCTCAAGCAATCTTCCCACCTCAGCCTCCCTTGTAGCTGGAACTACAGGTGCATGCCACCACACCCAGTTATTAAAAAAAATTTTTTTTTTTAGATATGGAGTCTCACAATGTTGCCTAGGCTGATCTTGAACACCTGGGCTCAAGTGAGCCTCCCATCTCAGCCTCCCAAAGTGCTGGGATTACAGACATGTGCCACCCAGCAAAAATTCCTCTCTTGAGACAAACTTCCTGCATAGATTTTATCCTAGAAAAGTAATTGTAAGCTCCTATGTTTATTATGTAATTTGAATGACAGTAAATTTATTAAGTATATAGACAGACTCAGCAGCTAAAGTAGAATTTAGCAAGGCATGGATAGTCTCTTCAGTTGTAAGATAAACAGTAAAAATAGACCACTTTGAGTGGGCAGTGAAAATTTTGGTATAATTTTTTTTTCCAGAGGTTTCCTTGAAAAGATGATGTAAAATTTAAAAATAAGAATAAAACACAGTCACATGTTGCTTAACAGACAAGAATAAGTTCTGAGAAATGCATCATTAGGTGATTTTGTTGTATGAAAATCATAGAATATACTTACACAAGCCTAGATGGTATTGCCTACTACACACCTAGACTGTACAGTATAGCTGATTACTCTTAGATTATAAACATAGCATGTTACTGTACTGAATGCTCTAAGCAATTGTAACACAATGGGAAGTACTTTGGTATCTAAACACAGAAAAGATACAGTAAAAATACAGTATAAAAGATTAAAAATGGTACACCTGTCTAGGGCACTTCCATGAACAGAGCTTGCAGTACTGGAAGTTGTTCTGGGTGAGTCAGTGAGTGAGTGGTGAGTGAATGTGAAGGCTGAGGACATTACTGTCTAGTACTGTAGACTTTATAAACACTGTACACTTAGGCTACCCCAAATGTATTTTTAAAAATATTTCTTAAATAATAAATTAATCTTAGCTTACTATAAATTTTTCATGGTTTTGTTCCTTTTTAACTTTTAAAAAACTATTGATATCTAATAAATATACATATTTCTGGGGTACATGCATACAATGTGTAAGGATCAAATCAATGTATTTAGGATATCCATTACCTCAAACATTTATTATTTCTTTGTGTTGTGAACATTTCAAATATTCTCTTGCAGCTATTTTTAAATATACAATAAATTATTGTTAACTATAGCCATCCTACATGCTATTAAACATTAGAACTTATCCCTTCTTTCTGTGTTTCTACCCTTTAACCAACCTCACTTTACTCACTCCACCACACCCTTCCTAATCTCAACTTTTTTTCTACTCTCTACCTCCATGAGATCAACTTTCTTAGCTCCCACATGAGTGAGATCATGCAATATTTGTCTTTCTGTACCTGGCTAATCGCACTTAACATAATGACCTCCAGTTCTGTCCATATTGCTACAATGATAGGATTTTATTCCCTTTTTGTTGCAGAATAGTATTCCATTGTGTATATATAGCACATTTTCTTTATCCATCTGTTGAGGGATGCTTAGTTTGATTTCATACCTTGACTATTGTGAATAGTGCTGCAATAAACAATGGAGTGAAGATGTCTCTTTGATATACTGATTTCCCTTCTGGGGAGATAAATACCCAGTAGTGGGATTGCTGGATCATACGGAAGTTGTATTTTCAGTTTTTGAGAAACCTCCATACTGTTTTCCATAATGGCTGTATTGTTTTTTTTTTGTGTGTGTGTGTGTGTTTTGAGATGGAGTCTCACTCTGTCACCCAGGCTGGAGTGCAGAGGCATGATCTCGGCTCACTGCAATCTCCACCTCTCAAGCTCAGATGATTCTCCCACGTCAGCCTCCCAAGTAGCTGGGATTACAGGTGTGTCCCATCATGCCTGGCTAATTTTTGTATTTTTAGTAGAGATGGCCAGGCAAGTCTTGAACTCCTGGCCTCAAGTGATCTGCCCACCTTGGCCTCCCAAAGTGCTGGGATTACAGGCGTAAGCCACTGCACCTGGCCAATAGCTGTACTAATTTACATTCTCACCAACAGCGTATGTTTCTTTTTCTCTGAATCCTGGTCAGCATTTATTTCTTGTCTTCTTAAAAATGTTTAATTATTAGTATTTTTTTAGAGATGGGTTCTCATTATGTTGCCCAGGCTAGAGTGCAGTGATCACAGGTGTGATCATAGCGCACTGCAGCTTAAATTCCTGGCCCCAACCTCCTGAGTAGCTGGGATCACAGACACATGCCACCACACCTATTTTTTGCCTTTTTGATAATAGCCATTCTAACTGGGGTGAGATGATATCTCACTGTGGTTTTGATCTGCATTTCCCTGATGATTAGTGATGTTGGGCATTTTTTCATGTATTTGTTGGCCGTTTGCTTGTTTTCTTTCGAGAAATATCTATTCAGATCCTTCGCCCACTTTTTAATGGGACTTTTTTTTTCCTGTTGAGTTTCTTGTATATTCTGGATATTAGTCCCTTATCAGATTAATAGTTTGCAAATACTTTCTGTCACTCTACAAGTCATCTCTTCACTCTGTTGATTGTTTCCTTTGCTGTGCAGAAGTTTTTTAGTTTCATATAATCCCATTTATTTATTTTTGTTTCTGTTGCCTATGCTTTTGAAGTCTTAGACATAAAATCTTTGGCTAGACCAATGTAGACCAATGTCCTGAAGTGTTTCTTCTGTGTTTTCTTTTAGTAGTTTTACAGTTTGGAGTCTCATATTTAAGTTTTTAAATTCATTTTGAATTGATATTTGTATATGGTGAGAGATAGGAGTTTAGTGTCATTCTTCTGTATACGGATATCCAATTTTCCCAACATGATTTATTAAAGAGAATATCCTTTCCCCAATGTATATTCTTGGCATGTTCACAAAAAATCAGTTGGCTATAAATAGATAGATTATTCTTGGGTTCTCTATTCTGTTCCATTGGTATATGTGTCTGTTTTTATACCAGTAACATGTTGTTTGGGTTACTTAGCTTAGTAGTATATTTTGAAGTCTGGTTGGGCAATGCCTCTCACTTTATAATTTTTGCTCAGGAATGCTTTGGCTACCTAGGGCCTTTGTTGTTCCACACAAATTTTAGGATTTTTTTTTCTATTTCTGTGAGTAATTTTATTGGTGTTTTGATAGGGACTGCATTGAATCTGTAGATTACTTTCAGTAGTATGGTCATTTTAACAATATTAATTATTTCTATCCATGAACATGGGATATCTATTTGTGTCCTTTTCAATTTCTTTCATCAATGTTCTGTCGTTTATGGCATAGAGGTCTTTTACCGCCTTGGTTACATTTATTTCTAAGTTTTTTTTTTTGTAGCTATTGTAAATGGAATTGCTTTCTTAATGTATTTTTCAGCTTGTTTGTTATTGGCGTATAGAAACACTACTGATTTTTGCATGTTGGTTTTGGATCCTGAAACTTTACTGAATTTGTTTATCAGCTCTAAGAGCTTTTTGATGGAGTCTGTTTTGTCTTGTTTATTAACAGTGTCTTGCGCTGTCACAACCCAGGCTACAGTGCAGTGGCATGATCATTGCTCACTGCAGCCTTAAACTCCAGGGCTCAAGTGATCCTCCCACCCCAGGCTCACAAGCAGCTAGGACAACAGGCATGTGCCACCACACCTGGCTAAAGTTTTTAACTTTTTTTAGAGATTGGGGTCTCACTATGTTGTCCAGGCTGGTCTTGAACCCCTGGGCTCAAGTGATCCTCCTGCCTCAGCCTCTCAAAGTGCTGAGATTACAGGCATGAGTCACCATGCTCACCCTTTTTGGTGGAGTCTTCAGGTTTTTCTAGATATAAGATTATGTTGTCTGCAGAGAAAATATATGACCTCCTTTTTTCCAACTGGATGTCTTTTAATTCTTTCTCTTGCCTGATTGCTCTGGCTAGGACTTCCAGTACCATGTTGAATAAGAGTGGTGCAAGTGGTCATCCTTGTCTTGTTCCAGTTCTTTGCAGGAAGGCTTTCAGCTTTTCCCTGTTCAGTATGATTTTAGCTCTGGGTTAACCATATATGGCCCTTAATATGCTGAGGTATGTTCCTTCGAGAGTTTTTATCATGAAGGAAGTTAAATTTTATCAAATGCTTTTCTGTATCTGTTAAGATGATCATAAAGCTTTTGTCCTTCATTCTGTTGATATCACTTATTAATTTGCATATGTTGAACTATGCTTGCATCCCTGGGATAAAGCCCACTTGATCATGGTGTATTATCTTTTGATGTGTTGTAAGTTTTTTACTTTATAAACTTTTTATTTTTAAAAACTCTGTAACTCTTGCATAATAACACAGTTTAAAACACAAATACATTGTGCAGCTGCATAAAAATACTTTTTCTTTATATCCTTATGCTATAGGCTTTTTTCTATTTAAAAAATTTTTAATTTATAAAAATGTCTTAAATACTGTAATCCCAGCACTTTGGGAGGCCGAGGCGGGCGGATCACGAGGTCAGGAGATCAAGACCATCCTGGCTAACATGGTGAAACCCCGTCTCTACTAAAAGTACAAAAAATTAGTCAGGCGTAGTGGTGGGCACCTGTAGTCCCAGCTACTTGGGAGGCTGAGGCAGGAGAATGGCATCAACCCAGGAGGCGGAGCTTGCAGTGAGCCAAGGTCGCGCCACTGCACTCCAGCCTGGGCAACAGTGCGAGACCCCATCTCAAAAAAAAAAAAAGAATGAAGACACAAACACATGAGCCTAAGCCTACACAGGGTCAAGATCATCAATATCACTGTCTTTCACCACCATATCTTGTCCCACTGGAAGTTCTTCAGGGGCAACAACACACAGGGAGCTGTCACCTCCTATGATAACAATGCCTTCTTCTGGAATGCCTCCTGAAAGACCTGCCTAAGGCTGCTTAATATACTCTAAATATACTCTAAAATAATGATAAAAAGTATAGTATAGCAAATATATAAGCCAGTGACAGTTGTTTATTATCATTATCAACTATTATATACTGTGGATAATTGTGTGTGCTAGACTTTTATACTAGACTGGCAATGCAGTCGGTTTGTTTACACCAGCATCACTACAAACACGTGTGATAGGTTGTGCTACATTACAATTACTACAATGTTACTAGGCAATAGAAAATTTTCAGCTTCATTATAATCGTACAGGACAACCATTGTATATAAGGTCAGACATTGGCCAAAATATCGTTATGAGGTACATGGCTGAAGTTGTTTTATGTATAAATAAAAGTGAGCTTTGCCTAAATTTAATTCCATGTTTGAGCATTCACTACTTTAAAAAGGACTCTCAGGGCACTGTAGCTCATACCTGTAATCCCAGAACTTTGGGAGGCCAAGGAGAAAGATCGTTTGAGTCCAGGGGTTCAAGACCAGCCTGGACAACACAGCAGGACTCCGTCTTAAAAATAAATAAGTAAATAAAATAAAAGGAGTAAAATTCTCCTGTCAAGTAAGTATACCTCACACCCTTATTTCTATGGCATTCTTCAATAAGAAAAACATTCGTATGAGAAACATTCCATATTATAGATTATAAAACAGCTCATACCATGAAAAGTTCAAACATGAAAAGAGTCCATGAAAACAAAAGTGAATGAAGATACAAATTTCCATGCTTTCCAGACCTTAAAAATAAACATATTAAGTTATTTTTGGCATACAGTCCTATAGAATTTTATCACATGCAATTGTTTAATATAATGATCACTATAATCAAGATATAAAACTATTCCATCACTCCAAAGAAATTCTCTTACGCTGCCCATTCATCATCACACCCTCCCCACAACCCTAACCCCTGGCACTACTGATCAGTTCTTCATTGCTGTGATTTTGCAATTTGAGAATGTTATATAAACAGAATCACATAATACATAACCTTTTGAGATTAGCTTTTATTTCAGTCAGCATAACAGCCTTGAAATGCACTCAAGTTGTTGTATGTATCAACAGTGCTTTCCTTTTTATTGCTCAGTAGGATTCTGTGATAGGGTTATACCAGTTATCAATTGGAGGACATCTGATTGTTTCCTTTTGGGCTATTGTAAATAAAGCTGATATGAACATTTATGTACATGTTTTTGGGTGTAAATTTTGATCTCCCTAGAATGAATATCCAGTAGGTGTATTACTGGGTTGTATAGTAAGTGCATGTTTAACTTTATAAGAAACTGCCAAACTGTTTTCTAGAGTGGTGATATCATTTTACATTAGCATCAGCAATGTATGAGAGATCGAGTTACTCTGCATTTTATCAGCACTTAATATCATCAGTACTTTTTATTTTAACCATTCTAACAGGTGTCTGGTGATATATCTCATTGAGGTGTTAATTTGCATTTTTCTAATGGTCAATTATGTTGATATATAATAATGCTTTACACTTACATCATGTCTTGCATTTTTGCAAATAATGTTTTAAACATCTCAGTTAATCTTCACAAGTACAGTGTGGCTTATTTATTTTATGTATTTATTTTTTTCGAGACAGACTCTCAATCTGTTGCCCAGACTGGAGGGCAGTGGCTTGGTTTCGACTCACTGCAACCTCCACCTCCCAGGTTCAA